>NW_025791785.1:300000-429744 GCF_000001405.40 Homo sapiens | reverse complement strand
GAATTCAAATTCAAAATTCACCATTTCTGGCAGGATGCAGTGGCTCACATCTGTAATCCCAGTTCCTTGGGAGGCCAAGGTCGGCGGATCACTTGAGGTCAGGAGTTTGAGACCAGCCTGGACAACACGGTGAAACTCTGTCTCTACAAAAAATAAAAATTAGCCAGGTGTGGTGGCATGCACCTGTAATCCCAGCTACTCAAGAGGCTGAGGCACAAGAATTGCTTGAGCCTGGGAGACAGATGTTGCAGTGAGCCAAGATCGTGCCACTGCACTCCAGCCTGGGCAACAGAGCGAAACTCTGTCTCAAAGAAAAAAAAAAAAAATTTACTATTTCCAAGCACTATGACCATGAGCAATTTACTGAAAGTGTTCAAGCCACAGTTTCCACAGAGGATTACTGTCTTGACTAACAGCTTGACGATGTGTAAAACACTGACAAAGTAGCTCCGCATCTCTAAATGTTCCATGTGACTAACATCATTGGGACGCTGTCTCATCTCCACCCCCGAATACGACAGAGATCCCCGGTCATATTTTGTATCCTGGGGACCTAATGCTGGGTCACAGGACTAGCAGCGTGGACCTCACCTCAAGCCTGAGCAGACCCAGACCCACTGAACCAGGATCTGCACTTCAGTAAGATCCCCCAGGTGATCCACACATTAGTAAGGTTTTGAAAAGCACTGCTCTAGCTGTCTCATAAAGAAAGGGGCAGGAAGCTAAATATCTAACACAGCCTATTCAACCAAGAAAGGGAAGATAAGCAATAAAGTACTAAAAGTATATAGTTAAGAACCCATTTCCCTTTTAGAAGACATTGACCGATAGAGACTGAATTCCAGGTGGTGAGAGGGAAAACAAGCTGCATGTTGACCTAGGCTTGAATATTCTTATGAAAAAGCTCACCTCAATTGAACACAAACATTTAAGTTCAATTTATTCTCCTTGCATTCTACCTAATCCTTTCCAGTTTTCAAAAATGAAAATGGGTGATTCTCGATGTTAAGGCTTAACTGCTCAGTAATATTCACTTTATAAATACAGCTAAGCAATGACCAGGAAAACCCAGCATGTCACCACTGTACTCACATGTGAAGTCCAAACATCTTTATAAATAACTAAGTGCGTACTTCTCTTATCAAAAGGAAAACAAAGAAATAAATATAACAAATTCCAATGCAACTAAAATAAACAGCAGAAACATCACTTCACTGTATGAAAACACAGCAGAAATTATTACCAACACAGACAATAAACCAAATATTATGGCTACTAAGAGCAATCACTATTTTTTGTTCACATTAAGGGCAAAAGCACTTGACTCTGCCATAGCCTCCCTAGAGCCACGTACCAGGAAGTAGACAATAGTATTTACATGGCAAAGCGCAGTATGCAGTCTCTGTACTACCCAAGAGTACAATAATTTAACAATAATCCTTATCAGTTAATCAATTAATTACTTAACTCAATCAATAATTCAATAATGAAAGATTATTAATTTTATAATATTAAATAATTATTATTAATATTTATTTGATAATTTAATATAAAATATTTATTTTTAAAAAAATTTTAAATTTTAATATTCTAAAAATTTAATATTAACTATTTAATATTAATATTATTAAATAATTGTTATTAATGATGAATAGCATAGAAATATGCTATTTCTATAGCATAGAAAACCTTGGCAATAATATTCAGGACACAGGCATGGACAAGGACTTCATGTCTAAAACACCAAATGCAATGGCAACAAAAGCCAAAATTGATAAATGGGATCTAATTAAACTAAAGAGCTTCTGCACAGCAAAAGAAACTACCATCAGAGTGAACAGGCAACCTACAGAATGTGAGAAAATTTTTGCAATCTACTCATCTGACAAAGGGCTAATATCCAGAATCTACAAAGAACTCTAACAAATTTACAAGAAAAAAACAACCCCATCAACAAGTGGGCGAAGGATATGAACAGACACTTCTCAAAAGAAGACATTTATGCAGCCAACAGACACATGAAAACATGCGCATCATCACTGGCCATCAGAGAAATGCAAATTAAAACCACAATGAGATACCATCACACACCAGTTAGAATGGCGATCATTAAAAAGTCAGGAAACAACAGGTGCTGGAGAGGATGTGGAGAAATAGGAACACTTTTACATTGCTAGTGGGACTGTAAACTAGTTCAACCATTGTGGAAGTCAGTGTGGCGATTCCTCAGGGATCTAGAACTAGAAATACCATTTGATCCAGCCATCCCATTACTGGGTATATACCCAAAGGACTATAAATCATGCTGCTATAAAGACACATGCACACGTGTGTTTACTGTGGCACTATTTACAATAGCAAAGACTTGGAACCAACCCAAATGTCCAACAATGATAGACTGGATTAAGAAAATGTGGCACATATACACCATGGACTACTATGCAGCCATAAAATATGATGAGTTCATGTCCTTTGTAGGGACATGGATGAAGCTGGAAACCATCATTCTCAGCAAACTATCACAAGGACAAAAAAACCAAACACCGCATGTTCTCACTCATAGGTGGGAATTGAACAATGAGAAGACATGGACACAGGAAGGGGAACATCACACACCAGGGCCTGTTGTGGGGTCGGGGGAGTGGGGAGGGATAGCATTAGGAGATATACCTAATGCTAAATGACGAGTTAATGAGTGCAGCACACCAGCATGGCACATGCATACATATGTAACAAACCTGCATGTTGTGCACATGTACCCTAGAACTTAAAGTATAATAAAAAAAAAAGAATACTAGAAAAAAAAATACATGTTCTGAGCAATGCTTTTAAAGCTAATTGTCCTTCTGTCCTAATAATAATCTTTAGCAGCTAAAAAAAAAAAAAAAAAGAAAGAAACCATAGACTCTACTTCTGTTTATCGAAGTAAGTGGTAGGTGTATTCTCCATAAGTGAGACATTATTCTGGAATTGTGTAAATTATTCACCAAACATTGCAAAGCACTCTGACTTCTCAGAAATACTTTAATTGTATGGCAAAAAAATTAAATTGTCTTTTCAACTGACTCATGATCTCAATTTAAGTTTATTTGCTAGGAGAGATTTTAAGAAATGTATGACACTATTTGGTATGTGGCCACCTTTTTGCCATACTACTTTGAAAGTTTAATAAAACCAATGCTTCAAAAGTAAAAAAAAAATTTTTTTTGATAAATTTTATTTTTTAAATTTTAAATTTTAATATTCTAAAAATTTAATATTAAGTATTTAATATTAATATTAAATAATTGTTATTAATGATTAATAGCATTATTGATATTATATTATTAATATATACAATGCTTGTTAAATTATTAACTTAGGCACAACTTCAATATTCTGGCAGAGAAACTTTCTTTCAGAAACAAGAACCCAAGAAAAAGAACTAAAAAACAGCTCTATTATGAACCTATGGCAAGCTGTTACTCTAGCTGACAAAACCGCATTACATAATTCTCATTCTCTGGTTAAGGACAGCCTAACAAATTTTCTGTATGAGATTTTCCTATGAAATTCATTTCATTTGGAATTCCTATTCAATTCATTGGAAATTAATTTTAGGAGAAAGGCATTAGGTGGATCATACATCAAAAGTATCAGGTAGCAAAATGTACAATGTCGTCAAATATAGCTTTGAAAAAAGTACAACAGTTTCCTAAAATCTAGTATTTCTTACATCAGCTCTCTTCAAAAGCTAACATTGTCCCTAAAACCGAATTCACAGAGGGTGCTTACACACAGACTGTAAGAGAAGTATGATGTTCCTTGGAAATCATTTTAACTTGGGGATAGAGTTTAGAAGCCTTGAAATAACAGATTGTTAACAATGTCCCCAAAGTCCCTGAGGAACATCTAAATGACATCTAAATGATGGACAGCTGAAGACAGTTTTTGAAGTGACAGATAAAACCAAACCATGGTTGAATTTTCCAATGAATACCTGAAGTTAAAATATTCTGTGCTATTATTTAATATTTACAGTGAGAACTGTGTGATTGAGATGTCAGAAACAAAAGTGAAAGTTCAGATGTCTGGCAGAACACTGCAAAGGTTAAAGTGCACCTTGAGGTATGGTCAAAGCTTGGAATTTGTGCTGCAGTTCAGCATGGACCAAGTTGACGTCCTGGAGGTCTCAGTCATAAGGCAAATGTTGGGGAACTGAGATCTACACTGAAGACCTGTGTTACTTCACAGTTGATCCAAGTTAAAAGAAAAGGAAAGACCAACAGTGTGATCCTTGAAGGCCATGATTTGGAAAAGGATGGGTGGCAACAAGTACCCTCTCGACTTGTTGGTTTTTAGCCTTATCCATTTAAAGTATTTGCCAAATACAGCAACTTTTTCATTAATATACATAATCTTAGTTTACTTTTTAAATTTTTTTTCCCTGATAACTCAGCCAACAGATTCAGATGCTTCCCAAGGCCACACTCAACTCACCATAATGCAACCACATCGCCAAGCACTAGGACGATGATCTGTGTTGCAGTTGGCAACACGAGAAGGCTCGAGTCACACTTCACAGTGCCCCATTCGCTGCCAACCAATCTCTCTGATGTAGCAGCAGCATTATGTCTAGGAATAACATATCAGCAATATGTCTGATAATAATCCCTAACTCAGCAAATCGCACCATTACACATAACCCTAGTGCTTCCACTGCTTTATGTACCATTGACTCTTCAACTGTCTTAGTCATTGGATTCATCCTGCTTTTTTCAAGGTCTCTGACAACATCCACCTGAAGAAATCAAACAGTGGCTTCTGTCTCCTCTTATTCACCTTCCAGCAGCACTCAGCACAGCTGAGCATCCTTCCTTCCTGAGACAGTCCCCCTTCTGACTGATGCCATGTTCCCCTGGTGTCTCCCCCAGGTTGCTAGCTAGCCGTTCCCGGGTCCCCCTGCCTCCCCCTTCCCCCTGACTTCTGCATAGGGGCACAGCCCAGAGATCAAACCTAAACTCACTGTTTTCTTCATTTCTTCATTCACACTCCCTTCCAGGTACCATGGCTGGAGTGAATAGTTAACCTTTCCTCTGAATATTTGTACATATATATAATCTGATATGTAGTATCTCTATTTGAATGTCCAGTAGGAATCTCAGACCTAATATGCCTACATCAATTTTTTATTGTACCCCAAACCTTGCACACAATCTTCTGCCCCAGAATTCCCTAACTCTGCAAATGGCACCATTATCTATAGTTAGTCGCCCCAGGAAAAAATTTGGGTGGGAGTCTTCTTGACTTCTCCATTCCCACACACCTGACGTTACAGATTCCACTAGATCTTCCTAGGAAGGGCGCCGACCTGCTCTCTCCTCTCCACCTATCAACCCCCCCTCTAGACACAGCCGCAGTCATTTTTCACCTCGATGACCCTAGCTGCCTCCTGCTTCTCACCCTGTTCTTACCTCCCTGCAATCCATTCTTTGCTGAGAGGCCACAGAGACAAAAGCTGCCACTCTGTAATTAAAATAGTCCGATGGCTTCTGCATCCCTCGTCTTGAACTACACAGCCATACTGGGGCCCTACAGCCTTCTCCAACACCTGTCCTCCTCACTCCCGGTGCCTCAGGTATTTCTCTTTCTTGCAAAGGTGCAGCCTTAGGACCCGGGCACTGCCTTTTCTGTGCCAGGTGCATTAAGTAGATTCTGTTTAGCACCTTTCGAAAATTAAAAAATATTAATGTAAAAATTTGAAAATGGTGATCAAACTTTATTTCTAATCAAGCCTGTGGTTGCATCTCAGGGTGACTCCACAGTCTTCTCCCACTAAAAAAATCACTTTGACTCTTTCAAACTTTAACATCAGTCATTCTTAGCACTCACAGGTTTCTCCACATCTTTCCAAATGTCCTCCTAGAGGGCAGCACCACAGCCCTCAATTTTACAGATGAATCACTTTTTGGTATCTGTCCTCAATCAGCAGATTATGGTCCTGGGAAGCACAGCGGCTCCAACCTGGGAAATGCGCACCTTGGGGTCTTGCCAGGAGCAGCAGACAGGGGGATGGAGGACCTAGACCGCAGCGCCTGCTTCCCATGCTCCCAGCGGCCAGAGGCCACGCTGCCGCAGCCTGCAGGAGCCTCCGCAGAGAATGAGCTCTGGCACTGCTCAGGAACCACCTCAAGTGAAAGAAGCAGACAAACTCTGTGGGTTCTATGTCTGGGCAAAACCAGAATCCATTATTTTAATCAGGAAAAAGTATAAATTAGGTGTCCTGGAGATAAATGTAAGACCATAGTCACTGCCTTAAAACAATGCCTTGACAGAGATGTGTTTCTAAGATCCACGTTCAAGTCAGACAAGCTATTTTTGCCCAGAGTCTCCATCACTAAATTCACTAATTATTTGCAGCGTCCTTCTCGGCTGCAAAAATGTTCTGTCAGGATCCAGTGAGACAGTGCATGTGAAAACACTCTGTGAAGTATAAAGTCCTTTACCAAGGTATAATCTGTAGCAGGATAAAAAGGACTTTGAAATCAAGCCGTGAAAGTTCAGAGACCCAGGCCTGAGATCCTAGTCAGCTTGCAAGTGCGAGCAATAAATGTCTGCCAGAGAGACCTGAAGGGCACCCTCAGAAACTCAGTGTCAGTGTGACACACCAAGTACAATGTCCCTGAAGATTCTTCCTAACATGAGTTATGAAGTTAATCTGCCAACTGAAAGTTAAAAAGAGAATGGTTTTTCAAGATGATCCCTTTTGAACAGACTTAGGAATGCAGGGTGATGAACTAACACCAGTGAAAAGCTGAGATTCCAGTTCTGGTTCTCCCATGAGTTATAATTTTAGGAGAGCGGCTCAGCATTTCTTTAATGTAAAATGAGAGGCGTGAACGGAATGAACTGAGTGTGTTATTCTAACAGTTCATTGATTCTATGCTCACCACTGATAAAAACATATCTCATCTGACTCACTGCTTACTAAGTTCAATGTGGATCACATTATCTCAAGAAAATAGTCATCATGAAATCATTTTTGATTAAGAAAACACTAGATTATCTGTTGATAGTTAGCGGCCTTGACATTTTGTTGTAAAGCTGATTTAGCTTTTAAGCCCTACACTTGTATTTATAAGTGAATTAGCTTTAAATCTCTATTATCAGATCCTTTTCATAAGCTGTTCAGAATCAAAATATTAAAATCTGAATACAGGCTGAGTTATTCCTCACTGTGCTGGACAGAGTGACACGGAGTGGTAGCTGGAAAAAGGGAAGACTGAATCACAGGACACTCTGCTTGTATGTTAGCATCCACAAAAGGGTTTCGAGGGAAAGTAGAATTTTAGACAAGTCACAGGAAAGTGCAGGAATCATCAAATTAAGTGAGAGTGGGATAAAGAGTATTTAAAGGTTCAAATTGTGCTATGCTTGAACAACACATAACAAAACAATGTGAGTCTAAAGGGACACTTTGGTCAAATTAATTTCTTTATTTTTCTGTTGTGTTACTTCCTGTCTCCCATAAATAGGAAGCTCGGCAACTCCTGGCATGGTTTTCTATTTCCATGTATCTGCCAGACAATTCAGTCATGAAGGAGGAAAAACATAAATTATTCTCTTTCCTGAAAACAGTAGCGCTAACACTGGAGGTGTGAACTGCTGTAAACATGGAAAAATTGCCAATAAACTTCTCAAAAATATTAAGTCAAAATTCAAACTGAACTTTGTTATAAAATCGCCACAGTTTCTGATAAGACTAGCTGGGCCACATACAACCATCTAATTCTGAAGAACTGCTACAAATCTCCTTTACAAGAAATTTCCAGAGAATACCACACAAACCCTGAAATAAAAACATGCTCAGCAGTGTTTTTCTTGGAGGCCAGTTTATACTGCTAGCCAAAGAGAATATTTTAAGAATCCCCCAACTACATTGGAGACAGGGTTAGAAGGAGGAGGACGAGAGAGCGAGAGAGCGAGAGTGCCAGAGAGAGAGAGAGAGAGAGAGAGAGAGAGAGATTCCTTGTACACAAAGTCAATGTATATAATATATGATATGGATACTTTAAATCTTGACCCTAAAAGAAATTGGAACTGTGAAGTTTATATCTGAAGTTATATGCAAGACATAGATAAATATTAAAGTGGGTGCTAAGCTTTAAAAATTATGTAGAATGGCTTTGTAAATGGTGGTGGCAACTATCCTCTCTCAAATTTCTTATGTTTGTACTATTCAATTTATTTAAAAGTTAAAGGAGGGGGGCCATGCAAGAAGCAGCAGTCATCTTTGTCTTCTTGAAGACTGAGATGAACAGAGAAAGTGACTCGGCTTGTTTCTAAACTTTTTGAGGGTGCAAGTCAGGAGCAACCTGTGAACATCAATACTCCTGTTGTGCCAGCGAGAGTCATCGTGGTTACCATTGCGGTTACCATTGCGTTTACCTTGTAATCACACAAACATATATTTATATCTGTTTGTGTCATTTATATATGTGTGATATACCTGACTGCCATCATGGTTACCTTGTAATCACACAAACAGATATTTCACCTGAAGCCATAGGCCACCTGAGCCTTCGCAATCTCCCAAGAGTTGATACTATTAACAAATAGCGACATCATCAGTAAGGCAAGGGCAATACAGACATACATTTGTGACGTTTTGCCATGAATGAGGGGAAAAAAAGGTAGCACAGAGGGCAAAGAGCAATTTAGAGAAAGTTATGTTTTTAAATTCTTTTCATTTTTTTTTTAAGATAGAAAAGCTGGGATGAAGCTTCAGTGCTAACAGGAAGTATAGGTACAGAGGCAGCAGTTGAAGGTACAGGAGCCTGTAAACTTCAGCACACAGAAGGAAACCTAGTTCTGAAACCAAGACACTAGCCCGGTCCTACCAGTGCTCAAACATCTCCATTTGGAAAGCACGTTAGATATGTAAGATATACTTTTTTTTTTTTGAGACAGAGTCTCACTCTGTCACCCAGGCTGGAGTGCAGTGGCGTGATCTCGGCTCACTGCAACCTCCTCCCTCCAAGTTCAAGCGATTCTCCTGCCTCAGCCTCCTGAGTAGCTGGGATTATAGGCACCTGCCACCGTGCCCAGCTAATTTTTCTATTTTTAGTAGAGACGGAGTTTCACCATCTTGGCCAGGCTGGTCTTGAACTGCTGACCTCGTGATCCACACGCCTCGGCCTCCAAAAGTGCTGGGATTACAGGCATGAGCCACTGCACCCCGCCTAGATATTCTTCTTAATTTAAATTTAGAAACAATAAGATTTACTCGTGTGTGCATATGTGTGTACAGTTCTCTGTGTTTTAATACATGGATTCTGTAACCATTGCCACTAACAACACAGCACAATTCCAATGCCCCAAAGATGTGACAGCTGCTATTGTTCTGCAGAGGCAGATGCTACTCCCACCTTAATGCGCGGCAACCACTCATCTGTTCTCCTTCCCTATAGTTTGGCCTTGTCTAGAATGACAAAGAAATGGCCTTATACAGCATGTGACCTTCTGAGACCAGCTATTCAACTTGGCATGATGCCCCTGAGAGTCATGCAAGCTGCTGTACCTATCACCATTCCTTTCGACTCCTGAGTGACACTCCACAGTATGGTTGGTCCAGCTGGTTGATCCATTCACCCACTGGAGGGACAGCTGTGCTGTTTCCAGGTCCAGCTGATGATAAGTAAGGCTGCTACAAATATTCGCGTACAGACTCTGTGTGAACACAAGCTTTCATTTCTCCGAGGCAAATATCTGGGAGTGGGACTGCTGAGTGGACATTTAGCTTTCTGTGAAACTGTCAAACTGTTTCTCAAAGCGGCTGGACCACTTCCCACACACACCAGCAGCCGTTCCAGCTGCCCTGGCTCCTTGCTAGAGTGCGACTGTTATTTTTTCTTTTAGCCATTCTAATGGATATGTAGTGGATCTCACTATATTTCTGAAGTGAGCAATAATGATGAGCATCTTTTTAGATGCTTATTTGCCATCTGTGTGTCCTCAGTAAACTGTCTATTCAAATCTTTTCTTTGCCATTTTTTGTTTGAGCTGTTCTGTTTTCTTATTGTTCAGTATTAAGAGTTCTTTATATATTCCAGACATAAATCTTTTGTCAGATATAAGATTTGCAAACGTTTTCTTCTGATCTCTTCATAATATCTTTCACAGAGTAAAAGCTTTCAATTTTGATGAAATCTAACTTATCTATGTTTTCTGTTATTCATCATGCTTTTGGTGTATCTAAGAACTCTTTGCCTACACCAAGATCATTTTTCTTGTATGTTTACTTATAGAAGTTTTATACCTTTAAATTTTGTCTATGATCCATTTGGAGGTAATTTTTGTGGCTCGTGTAAGGTATAGAATGAGGTTCTCCCTTCCTTCCTCCTCTCCTCTCCTTTTCTTTTCTTTTCTTTGACAGGGTGTCTCTCTGTCACCCAGGCTGCAGTGCAGTGGCATGGTATTGGCTCTTTGCAACCTCCATCTCACCGGTTTAAGTGATTCTTGTGCCTCAGCCTCCTGAGTAGCTGGGATTACAGGCAGGTGCCACCATGCCGAGCTAGTTTTTTTATTTTTGGTAGAGACGGGGTTTCACCATGTTGGCCAGGCTGATCTCCAATTCCTGACCTCAGGTGATCCACCCAAAGTGTTGGGAAGGTTCCTTTTCTTGATTGTGTATGTCCAACTGCTCCAGCACCACTTGTTCAAAAGACTGAATTTCTCCACTGAATTGCCTTCATGCCTTTGTGAAAACCCATGGGATGTATTTTGGGGGTCTATTTCTGGATTCTCTGTCTGTTCTGTGTGTCCACCAATACCACACTGCCTTGAGGACCACAGCTTGAAAGGATGCCCCAAAAGCAGGTAGTGCCAGTCCTCCTCCTTGTTCTTTCCTTTCTAAATTGTTTTGGCTATTCTGGCTCCTTAATATCTCCATAGAAATTTTAGAACCAGTTTGTCTGTATCTTGAAAGAGTCCACTGAGATTTTGAATGAGAATGTGTTAAATCTATACATCATTTTGGGAAGAAGTGACATGTTCACTGTACTATGTCTTCTAATCCATGAACATTGTATGTCTTTTAATATATTTAGTTCTTTGAGCTTTAAAATCAGTATTTTGTAGTTTTCAGCACACAGATCCTGCACTTATTTTATTAGCTTTATACTGAAGTTTCAATGGAATTCTTGCATCTGGATGACTTGCTCAACTCAGCTGTCACCTCTAATTGCTGTTTTGTAGATTGCTTGTGACTTGTCTACATAGAAAATTGTGTGGTTTATAAATAGAGATAACTCTATTTCTTCCTTTCTAACCTACATGCCTTTTATTATCTTTTCTTGTCTGATTGCCTTGTACCTCATTCATTCACTTATGTGTCTGAGTGCCCCAGGTTCTTCCCTCCAGGCAAGGAGTCTAGACTAAAGGTGAGAAGTTTATTAAATAATGTGTTTTAATGCCCACCTTTATCATATCAGGTAATCCCAGAAGAGATACAATAACCTAAAATTTCACCCAGTTCTGTTTCTATGTATGATTAGCTGTGGAGTACTAGCAGAACACTGAGCAGAGACATGCAGACAACCAGGGAGCAGGTCTCTATCCATGTCGACAGCAAAGGCAGTACGTTCTCACGTCTGACCTCTATGGACTGCTCCAAGTCCCAGAAGAATAAGTTGGGTAAGGAATCCTGTACAGATGCATATCCTTAGAAATAACATTTTTTCCTCCAAAACCTGAGGGAAGGGAGAGTAGTCAGATGAAGACACAGAGACGATTTGAATTGGAGAGAAATAAAACACAGAACTCATTCACTGATGCTAGAGTTATTAAAGAGACAGTAGTCCACCCTATCCAAAGGGGGCACAGTCCGTGGCCCCCTGGGGGATGCCTAAAACTGTGGATAGTTCTGAACCCTATATATATAGTATGCACAGTTTTTTCTCCTTCTTCACAATTTCACAGGTCAAAGAGTCATTTTTTCCATAGATTTTAGCTACGTCAGCATACCATTTTTCTTTCCATATTAAGTGGACAACGTTCACCTTTTCACTTAAAGAAAGCACCTTGGAGCTCCTCTTTGGCATATCAAAGTTGTCAGCATCAATACTCTTGTGCTTGGGGAACATTATTAGGCCAAATAAGGGTTCCTTGAAGACAAACACTGCAAAATCACGAGATTCTATCTGATAACCAAGATGGCTACTAAGTGAGGGCAAGCAGCACCTACTCCATGCACAGGCTGGACTGAAGGACGATTCACATCCCAGGGAGAATGGAGCCAGATAACCTGAGATTTCTTCATGCTAGTCAGAAAAGAATGCATTTAAAGACTTATAAATTGTTATTTTCTGGGATTTCCCATTTAATATTTTCAGACCATGGTACCTGAAACTACACAAAACAAAACCCTGGATGAGAGGGGCACTACTGTCTTTCATCCAAATAAACATAAAGCAGTACTAATATATAATCAGGTAAGGTGATCCCCCATTGCCACCAATGCAAATGAACAGTGCTTACTTTTGGAATTTCAACGTTTTCCACTTCACAACTAGAAGCACTAATCTCTTTAACCTCTGTCACAACACGGAAAAAAGACGACGGCCATTCTTGAAAATACATGTGTAGCTTTTGCATGTTATAATTCTACTGGTTTAAATGAACACAGTATGAGTATGAATAGAATACATTCTTGGGAGAGGAGGAGGGAAGACGGATACCACAGATGCAGAATGGTAACATACGTAACAAGTGATGCTACTGTCACCAGAAAGGAATGCTTTGGAGCAACCTTAGGTTGAGGATGAAAGTAATAATAGAACCAATAACAGTTCATTTCAGTTTTTATGAATAACGAAAATAATTATGTATTTTTAAAAGCTATCTTTAATCTACAGAAACAAGGGCAAATAATGTTACAGATAGATATACATAGGATAAAACCTATCCAAATGGGATTAAAAGAACATCCTTCATCCTAAGTAAATCCATCTGTACAAACAATCACTGAATTATTTTGGCTCTGCAAACCACCACCACCACAGCTCACAATGTTTCTTGGTCACACATAGAGGAAAGCTCTTTGACTGTGAGAACATGCATCTTGCGTTTCTTTCAGCATCTTTGTAATCTTGCTTCTGCTTTATCTTAGAGGCTACTCACTTCCTGCTCTCTACCCTCCCCGTCCTCCTGTTGCCCCAGAACTTGGCCCTGGTTGAAGGGTAGCAGCCCACGGGAGACCAACAGGAGGAAAGACGGGTGTTCCCAGCTCACAGGAAAGTGTGCAGATCCACAAGGGTGCACGCCGGCCTGAGTGCTGATGTCGGCACCTCAGGGTGACCCACTCTATCAAAATGCCTTGTTTTAAAATACGCAGTTCACACACAGGGCTTACCCAATCATAAGAGAGAACCCAGCAGCCACGCGCAATTCCCAGCAGCACATTCAGGGTGCGAAGTGGCTTCCCGGAAAGCACGTGAGTCGTGGTCTCACAGACGTCTGGTGCAATTGAAAAGCCTTTCAATTTATCCACAACCTGGATGACGACATTCTGCTTTCTGTCAAATCGGGGGAAAAATTAACAAAATGAATGACTTTGTTGCACATGCCCATCAAAGCAGTTACACTCAATATTAGTACTAATAAAACTAGAAAGCCAAAATTTGAAACTGATTTTGGTTATGGTACGTATATCTTAACTGACTTATAATCAATGCTTTGAAACCTGGGGAAATAAACTTCAGATCTCAATTCTATTTTAATGGCTGAGAAGACAAGCCCACAGGCTGTCAATGGCTTCCCACAGTGGCTGGGCTGGGTAGGGACAGAGCCAGCATCAGAAACCAGGCCCCTGGCTGGGCGCGGTGGCTCACACCTGTAATCCCGGCACTTTGGGAGGCCGAGGCGGGTGGATCACCAGGAGTTCAAGATCAGCCTAGCCAACATGGTGAAACCCCGTCTCTACTAAAAACTACAAAAATTAGCCAGGCGTGGTGGCACGCGCCTGTTGTTCCAGCTACTCAGGAGGCTGAGGCAGACAGAATAGCTTGAATCCGGGAGGTGGAGGTTGCAGTGAGCCGCGATCGTGTCACTGCACTCCAGCCTGGGCGACAGGGAGAGACTCCGTCTCAAAAAAAAAAAAAGAAAAAAAGAAAAAAGAAAAAAAGGAACCAGGCCCCTGACATCAGACCAACACTCTTCCCACTGGGGCAATGATTTGTTTTTCAGGCCTATTTGAACCTATCTGTGCATGCTCAGAACCAAGAACCTCACTTATTTTATTTTGAAAATGTAATATTTATTGAGTATCAACACATAGTTTTTCTACTAAGAGGGGAAAAAAGACCCTTTTTATTAAATCATCAAATCAAATCTGGGACCTATTTGTCACAAAGCTCATGACCATTATGGCTTATCTCCTGCTCTGTCATTCCCTTAATACTTAAAATATCCTTTAAAAAAATATATTCTTTCCGTCCAACTTCCTTACCAAACAACCCTCAGTTCTTTCTTCCCTTTTATAATAACCTTTCTATGCCATTAGTTCTGACATTAGTTTTCTCTCTCTCCCAGAAAATTTAAAAAATCCCCAATGGAGGGCTTTCTAAGCCACACTGTGATATATACAACAACATGGTGAAACGCTGTCTCTACTAAAAAAACAAAAAAATTAGCCGGGCGTGGTCGCGGGTGCCTGTAGTCCCAGATACTCAGGAGGCTGACGCAGGAGAATGGCGTGAACCCGGGAGGTGGAGCTTGCAGTGGGAGGAGATTGCGCCACTGCACTCCAGCCTGGGTGACAGAGGGAGACTCTGTCTCAAAATAAATAAATAAATAAATAAATAAATAAATAAATAAATAAATAAATAGAAAAAGAAATAAACATCTCTCCTCTCCAAAAATTATATTACAAAGGGGAAGAGGTTATTGTCTATGCTTATACAGACTGCCTCTAACACTCTTCCTTCCAAATGATGGTGTTCCTTAGTTTTATTTTATTGTTTTGAGACAGGGTCTCACTCTGTTGCCCAGGCTGGAGTGCAGTGGTACAATCATGGCTCACTGCATCCTTGATCTCCAGGGCTCAAGTGATCCTCCTGCCTTATCCTCCCAAGTAGTTGGGACTATAGGCAATTCACCACCAAGTCTGGCTAACTTTTGCATTTTTTTGTAGACACAAGGTTTTGCTATGTTGCCCAGGCTGGTCTTGAACTCCTAGGCTCAAACAATATGTCCACCTGGGACCCTCAAAGTGCTGGGATTATAGCCGTGAACCAACACACCCAGCCTTCTTAGTTTTATCTCTAGTGATCTTAGGTATGTCCATCTCAAAACCTGTTTCTTTATCTGTAAAATGAAAGGGCTGAATTATATCATGCTTTTAAATTCTTAAGAGATCCTTAGGGTAGAAAAGATGTGTGAGTCAAGATCTGGGCCTCATCACTACTTCAACCCGAGAATGTGTGCTTGAGTCAAGAAAAATAATTAAACTTGGAAAGAAATAAAGGCAAAAATGATAAAAGAAAACAAAAACAAAAACAAAAAGTAAAAAGCTCTAAACTACACACTCCCTAGAACTCCATCCTGAGGCTGGCAGCTGCTTGCTGGATGTGCCAGTAAGTAACAAGTGTCTCTGCAAGGCTCAGCTAATCCACATAAAATCAGAATGTCCAGGTCTTATTCTTAAGTATCACAAGAAGTCCATGTGGAGAAAAAAAGAGTAAGACAAGAAGACGGCCTAAATGAAAAGTTTTATTTTTAAATCTTGAATGAGAAAATAAGCAGTTAACTAGTAATTTTTCTTTTATTTTGGAAAAATACAAAGACTTTAAAAAATATTACACATATATTCAATATTCGCTTCTGTATTAGACTATTTAGAATGTTCAATATATTTCATAATATATTTACAAAAATTTTGAGTGACCCCCTTTTTCACTATATAATGTATGGTGTTTGATGATCAGTGCTTTTATTTCTAAGCCCCAGGCAGGAAAAGGATCCCACTACTGAAAATGTTCTAAAGGTGCCCTCTCTGCAGCATATTTTTCACTGAAATGTTCCAATGTTTTGATGGATGTCTTAAAACCTTAAAACCTATGATTGATATCAAAAACATGGTTTTCCCCTTTAAACAGGAATTCAAAAATCTGTTGCAAAGAATATAGCACTGTATTTTTGTTGGATGTTCTTTGTTGTGTTAAATGTTTAAGGGAGATGATAAGAGCATGCCAACAAGCTATTAACCCTTCCACAAAATGCATACATAGCAACTTTAACACTGCTGTGGAAAGCTTTCTGCTGCAGTATTGCTTTAAGACCTTTAAGGGAAATGTTTTGGTCAATGATGTTCCACTTCTTGAACATTCATGAAGCTATTTGGTATCAAGCAAGCAAAAGAACACCAAAACGAGCACACACCTCTTAATGCTGCCTAAACAACCCCAGAGTTTTCAAGGCTAAGTCGCTCACATTTGGTACATGTTTAATTTTCAGTGATCTTCTAACTCAGATATTAATTTTATAAAGTAAAAGTGATACAGGACAGATTGACAAGTTGCCTAAAGGCACCCAGAATTAGAGTATAAGAGAGAAAAGGTTAACATTTTACATTGAACAGAAATCAAAACAAGTACTTACTCAGATGGCATGCTTGTCATGACTAATGTTCTTGTTGGCTAGAGATTTCAAACAAGAAGGAACAAAAAACAGTCAAAAACATAAAAAATATTTTTCCCACAGAAATAAACTGTAATAAGTTTTTTGAAAAGTTACATCACTTAAAAATAAACATTTAAGCATATGTCAAAGAAAAAAAACCTTTATATTCCTGGAAAAAACAGGCCAAGAGATAGAAACTCAGATACTGTCCCCAAAGCAATCCAAAATAATCCAGACATGAGGTACAAGAGCAAAACAAAAAAATTTCCCCCAGGAATCTGTTCCACCAGTTAGCCAGCAGACCTCCAAGTGTGTCAACGTCTTCATGCACTTCAAAGTGAGAAAGGGTAAGAAGGGTGTTTTTGTAGACTCGTCAGCCACTTTTCTCAAGACTTCTAGGCAGCCTCATTCTCATTTCAGACACAGGTGCACAATAATGCTTGTGCTTCTGTTGCACCTGTCAAGTGAATCCCCCACATACAGAAGCATGGATAAGGGAACTTATTTGTTCTATTGACATCTGCTATCAACTGGAATTGAAAAAAATTTAAATAAAATGTTTAATTTTTTTTTTGCTTATCTAAGAAATGCACGCTGACTTGCAAAAAATTTAAATGCTATAGAAATATATAATCAGAAACACAAATTTTCCTGTAATTCCACCAGCTAGAAATGACTATTGTTTAACAATTTGGCAGTATATTCAGCCAAATGTTCACTCTATAGGAGTGTGTGTGTATGTGTATGCATGCATATACATATATAAACAAAAATGAATTCACATTATTCATATACTTTTGTAATTTACATGAAATACTTCAAATGTAACCAACTGTGTAGTATAACCAATATGTCTTGAAAAGTCAAGGTGAAGTAAATGAGAAGGAACAAAAGGCATTTGAAGGACCCCAGGGTTGACGAAAATGACAGACATGAAGCGGTTTGTATACTACGTATTTGGGGAAGGACTGCTGGTTTATAGAGATCTTGTCTCTGTTGGGTGAAAGATAACAGAATCTGATTTGCTAGTATTTTTCGTTTGTCTGCTTTTCTACTTTGGTTTCAAAACAATTAAGAATTTCATGCCATCAGGAAGTACACATCTGAGTAAAATTTTATATTTCTGCTTTTAAGTTTGGTCTATGACTGAATTTTTTTCTTCTTCTTTTTTTTTTTTTTTTGAGATGGAGTTTTGCTCTTGTTGCCCAGACTGGAGTGCAATGGTGCAATCTCGGCTCACTGCAACCTCCATCTCCCGGGTTCAAGCAATTCTCATGCCTCAGCCTCCCAACTAGCTGGGATCACAGGCGCCCACTACCATACCGAGCTAATTTTTGTATTTCTAGTAGAGACAGGGTTCCACCATGTTGGCCAGGCTGGTCTCCAACTCCTGACCTCAGGTGATCCACCCACCTCGGCCTCCCAAAGTGCTGGGATTACAGAGGTGAGCCACCGCGCCTGGCCTGAAATTTTAGAATTACAGCTTACAAATTATCTATGTCTGTTTGTATGTCTGTATTGTACTGTGGAAATGCCACTGTAGTGAATACTGACAGTTTCATATAGCCTTGGCATCTATTTTGATGATAAGTTTAACCTTCTCATACCAGAAACAGGGCTTAGTTTCCCTCGACAGCTTCCACCTGCCACCCCCAGTCCTCAATGGGGTTGATCCAGGGATCTGCCTTATACACCTCCTCTTTCTGGTGACGGCCTCTCTAAGAGACAGTCTACCTGGCTGCCCTGCCAACCCCACACCCCACATGGACTGTGGAGTATGCCACAGGGACCACCTCTCAGTTGCTGTGTGATCCTGAAACTCATGGCTGCCTGTTTTAAACTCACCAACTAAAACTCCCTGCAGGAAACCTGCTTGGACAATGCCCTGGCCCCCAGTAAAGGTGGTGGCCCATGGGTCCCACTCTCTCTTGCTCTATGCCTGACACTTCATTCATTCTTCTGGTGACCTGGGGATAGAGCATTGCCCTCCCGACTCATGGCGCCCTCCCTCTCTAGGATCTGGAAGTAATAAATCTTGGAACTTATTTCCTATCGTGTTGGTGTGCTGAATTTGCACATTCCATCTGAAGAACCAGGGGCTCTCCCAGGCTACCTGGGTTTTCCCCGGGATGCTGGGGAGGAACACAAGGGCAGGCTCTGAGCACCAGAGCGATGGTCAGGCAGTCATAAACTGGAGAGGGGTCAGAAAAGAGCCACAAGGGCGTCTGCCAGGATAAGCACATCTCCCATGAGAGGAATGCCTGATACTGGTTTAGAGAACAAAGCATCAGGCTGTCCACCACGTAAAAGGAGTGCCCGTGAAGGGCACCCAAGTAAACACTTGCACCCTGCTCCCCAGCATTTGCTGTTAGGGCAGGGTCATTAGCTGCACTGGTACTGGAAGCCCAGTGTGGCAGGGGAACTTTCAAAGCAGCTATTGTCTCTCATCCTGGGATAACCATCATGAGATGGTCTTACCAAGTGAGAATGTGATAGCTCTTAAGGATGTTCTGTTCTGACTGGCTTAGAAATAAAGAGACACCTATAAATTGAATCTTCCTAAAATTCCCAGAAATTAAGGAAATTGAACTTCCAATAATACTTTCAACAGCACTAAAAAAAGTATTCCTATAGAAACGTAAATGTTTTAAGAATTCAAGTTCACACATTTAGGTAAATATTTGGCAAATGAGACTAGTTGAATATTTGGGGTTTAATAAAAATAGTCATGTCTTCTATGAGTTGTCAGCATTAAGTATTATTATTCTTATTTTTTAAGATGGGGTCTCTCGCTATGTCACCAAGGCTGGTCTCAAATACCTGCCCTCGGCAATCCTCCCATCTTGGACTCCAAAAATTTCTAGGATTATAGGCATGAGCCACTGTGCCCAGCCACACTATACATTGCTATTCTACTTTTACATGTTCTTACAAAAGCTATACAGATTTACTGATCAAATAAGTGAACGTTACTCGTAAAGTTTAAGACTATGAAAAAATGTAAATTTGTGCTTAATCAAATTGAATCATTAACCTGACAAACTTTTTTTAACAATAATTTTTTAAATTATTTATTTATTTACTTTTGAGAGACAGGGTCTTGCTCTGTTGCCCTAGCTGGAGTGCAGTGGTGCAATTTTTTTTTTGGAGACAGCAAGGTGAACCCATTGCATGTTAAAGTCTTAGTAGTATTATGAAATTAGTTTTGACCCCACAGACTCCCTGAGTTCAGTCCTAAAGTGTCACTTTGTTCTGACTTGGTGATAGAAACGTGTCATAGAAAGCCAGGTACACCAGAGGTTGGAAAAACCACATATCAGAATCAAAATCAGGATTGAAATACATTAATGTGGGTGATTTAGCTTGAGAAAAGCAATTGTATGACGACTATGATGAAGAGTATAATTGTCCCATTTTAGATGAAGACAGAGTAGCTGATGAGTTAGATAACCAAATGAGAGAATGTGGAGTTATTGTTGATTACCACGGTTGTGATTTCTTCCCTGAACGCTGGTTTCACATAGTTTTTGTGTTGAGAATAGATGCCAACATATTGTACGAAATACTTCAAATGAGGGGTTATAATGAGAAGAAACTAAAAGACAATATTCAGTGTGAGATTTTCCAAGTTCTTTATGAAGAAGCCACGGCATCCTACAAGGAAGAAGTTGTGCATCGGCTGCCCAGCAATAAACCAGAAGAGCTAGAAAATAATGTAGATCAGATCTTGAAATGGATTGAGCAGTGGATCAAAGATTATAACTCTTGACTTATAAGGCTAGCTACTTTACAATCACTCTTGCTGATATCTCTCTGCTGACATCATAGAAATTGTTTAAGTATCAGGAACGCTTTATTAAACTCATGTTGCAGGACCAGCAGGCGGATAGTATAAAGGTTTATGCCTATGTTTCTTTTTCTCCATGAGAAAGCTAAACATATGAAATACAACAAATATAGCATTGTTAAGGATTGAGACAGGCTGGGCGCGGTGGCTCACGCCTGTAATCCCAGCCCTTTGGGAGGCTGAGGTGGGCAGATCACGAGTTCAGCAGATCGAGACCATCCTGGCTAACACTGTGAAACCTCATCTCTACTAAAAATACAAAAAATTAGCCGGGCATGGTGGTGGGCACCTATAGTCCCAGCTACTTGGGAGGCCGAGGCAGGAGAATGGCGTGAACCTGGGGAGACGGAGCTTGCAGTGAGCCAAGATCGTGCCACTGCACTCCAGCCTGGGCAACAGAGCCCGACTCCGTCTCAAAAAAAAAAAAAAAAAAAAAAAAAAAAGGATTGAGAGAAAAACTGTCATTTCAATGCTTAAATTGCTACAGAATTAATAAATCTGAAGAAATATAAGTGGATATCTTTTAAGTTTATTACAGAAAAAATGCAGATGATCTCTTAAAACTAAAGACTAAACATTTAAAAACAAAGAAAAGTTTACCCAATATTGATGAGCCTGTTTCTTTGGTTTACTGTTTACCACATTCACCTAAAAAATAAAGGCTTATTCTTTTTTCTGTATAATTGGCTTAGATTCCAAAGATTCTGTGTTTTATGAGAATAACCTTCTATGGTTTATATTGACTTTATTTTACCCTTGAGTATTCAAGAAATCGTGTCTCTTAGGAAAGAGCTAAGGTTCTTTACAATCATGTTACCTCTCTGTTTACTTTTAAAACCTTTTACAGTCACTTTGATTAAATAGGTAGTCAAAAATTGTTTCTAAGTTACATGATCCTATTGGAATCAGGTATTCAAAATTTCTTGATAATTTTTGATATTTTGCCTTCCGCAAATCAAATCCTAAATGATATATTTTGTACTTAAAACTGTCTGAGGCTGGACATGGTGGCTTATCCCTGTAATTCCAGCACTTTGGGAAGCCGAGGCGGGTGGATTACCTGAGGTCAGGAGTTCGAGACCAGCCTGGACACCATGGCGAAACCCCATCTCTACTAAAAAATACAAAAATTAGCCAGGCATGGTGGCAGGCACCTGTAATCCCAGCTACTTGGGAGGCTGGGGCAGGAGAATGGCTTGAAACCCAGGAGGCGGAGGTTGCAGTGAGCTAAGATCGGGCCAATGCACTCCAGCCTGGGCGACAGAGTGAGTCTCCATCTCAAAAAAACAAAACAAAACAAAAAACTGTCTAAGATTCCCCAGACATACCTGGAAAATAAAAAGTATTTGTGCTTTTACTTTAATAAAAAACAGATGCTTGAAATAATTAGGAGATCCATTTGATGTGTTACTATTGATAAGTTATATGGGACAAATTGTCACATCAAAAAAGATAGCCAGCCCTAGGTTAAATATATGTTATTAATACATAGGTGTTTATGTCCCCTCTAAAATAACCCTCTTGATGTGATATTCTTGGTCTATTCTAATTATATGCTTGGCATATTCATTGTATATTATGTCTTGGGACTATTTTGTTATATCTGAAGATTTTTTCTGTAAAGATTATGTTCTTCCATTTTTATAAATTAGATGCAACATCCACTGTTCTTTTAAAATAAGGTTAATTATGGTGTTTCTAGATGCTGTATCTAGAACTTTTTTGGGTTGACTCTGTTTTGCACACCATAACTAACTTTACTTATCAGTTGCCAATACTGTTGTAATGAACTCTCAATAAATTTAGTTTTGAAAATTATCAGTAATACGAGAACCATAGCCATTTAAAATCTTTTGTCACCTACAGATTTCTGTTTTTCTCTGACACTTCCCTGATCAGCATCTGCAATTAGCTATAGGCCAGAGTGACTTACCTTCGACCAAGAGGGGGCTGTGTTAGAGCCCCGTGGAGAAGAACTATGCTGGGTACTTTTGGGTACAGGCTTCTTATGGCATTGTCTAAATAATGCTGAGACCCCACCAGGGGAAGAGGATTTCTATAACCCTCATTGAGAAGCAGACGGATTCATGAGACTGCTAACCCAAGATCAAGTGGAACAAAAATTAATGACTAGGCCCAGATGAACTACTGAAGGAGGACTGCGGCTTTTGTTTACAGTATTGTTGCTATTTTAACACTCTATATTCTGGATACATAAGGAACCCTTTCTCTTCTCCCTCTGCCTGTATCTCCTAACAATTCAGTCGACTGTGCTTTTATAAACAGAAAGGAAACATCTGGAAATGGTATCTTATTATCCCTGCCTGATCCCTCCAGAATTGTGAAACTGTAATTGAGTATCATTTTTTTCAGCGCAATATAATTATTTGCATAGATTAAAAAACAATCCATCTTCCTAGTTACCAGGACATAACTAAAAACAGTGGCTATGCAACCATGGCCTTTGCTGGAATGTCGTATTTGAGAGTGATATTCACTTACTCAGAAATAACCAGCCACCTAAGTCCTCAGGTTGATTTTATGGCGCCAACGCTTACAAAGCCCTTTTGGGGAAAGAAGCCTGGTACTTTGCTTACGGTGTTCTCAGCCTTACAGGTGAGCAAGGAAGGTCACTTGGTGGTAGGTCCAAGATCCACTGAGTATGTTGGTCACCCCCCAAAAAAGGCATTCCCCCAAATTTATAGGCACTGCAGGTGAAATCTGAAAAAAAAGGACCTTCGATACTTAAACTGTAGCAGCCTCCATTGTAAGGAAATTTAGAGAAAGAATAAGATGACTCCCTTTGGAATGGTATGAGCAAAGAAGGACTTTCCTAATTGCTAACTGGATGGTAGAAAAGACACCCCTTAGTTTATGTACATCTTACAGCAGCAACACTACTTTTCTCCTTCAGTTTGAGACAACACTCCTTCAGTTTAACAACCCTCTTTACATTTTCTACTAAAGCTTATAATGGTGGAATAATAAAGCAACCACAAAGTGAAGTACAGCCTCTGATTCCTGTGGCATGGCCACTGGCAGGGCATCGTTTGGAGGCCCAGAAGTTTATGTGTATTCATGAGTTACTCATGGGTTTACTTGTATTCATGAAACATGAGAGGCAGCAAAAGCATAAAGCATGTATCTTAACATTTTATTTAAAAGTACGAGGATCTCAGAGCCTGGCATGGTGGCTCACATCTGTAATCCCAGCACTTTGGGAGACCAAGGTGGGCGAATCACTTGAGGTCAGGAGTTCGAGACTAGCCTGGCCAACATGGTGAAACCCTATCTCTCCTAAAAATACAAAAATTAGCTGGGTGTGGTGGCAGGAAACCTGTAATCCCAGCTACTCAGGAGGCTGAGGTAGGAGAATCGCTTGAACCCGGGAGACGGAAGTTGCAGTGAGCGGAGATCGCGCCACTGCACTCCAGCCTGGGTGACAGAGCGAGACTTTGTCTCGAAAAAATAAAAAAATAAAAAAAACCCCAAAGTATGAGGATCTCAGAAATGAAAAAACAAGTACAAATTCTATTATATGGACAGCTCCAGGAAGCTGAAACCTTTATCTTATTATTAGCAATATATTAATATGAGATATTACTCTTCCATTCGTCTAGACACATCTCACAAATTTAAGTATGTCAAGGTATCTACTACAGAATGCCTACTGCAAAGAAGAAAAACAACCCTTTTCTGTTTTTAACATTGTTATTCGATGAGAAAAAAACATGCAGGATTCTTTTCCTTAACAGGAAAAGCACACAGTTAGGCGCATCCAAAGGCAATCAGAGCAAACGTGAAAAAGGTGGTCACATGAAAGAATCCAACGACCAGTGAGAAACAATAACAGACATGAAACACTGTATCTACACAAAAGAATGTTCTGAAAGTTCTAAAGGAGTAGAGATGAGGGAGCAGGGAGAGAGAGAGAAAAAGAGTATTGAATGCATGATTATTTGGGAAATGGTCTAGCTGATTTTGTTTTAGTAAGACCAAAGATAGGTCAAGTTAAACAGATATACCCGTTTTATTAGTGATAAATAGAAACATTTCAAAAACAAAACATTCTTTGAAATCTTTTGGGTTTAGCTATCAGTTCTTTGGTAAACAGTGAAATTAATTTTCCTTAAGAATAAGTAAAATAAGGAGATAACCCACATATTCACAAAGATTATTAACCTTGTTCACGCCCAGTATAAGCCCATCTAAATATATATGGTACTATCAGAATCATATATTTATATAAATTTTGACTATAGAGGAAATTTTTAAAAATAAAATCCAATATGACAAAAGATAAATTCTGGAAAAATGTCTTCAAATCCCATCCTGAGGATATTATATGACCTAGATCCCTGGCAGCTACATCGTGTAAAGCACCTTCAGAAAGACTCAGTCTGTGGACCCAAGAGATCCCAGATCTTTAAACAAGTAGCTTATTAAATACAATAATAAGCTATAGCATTAAATATAATAATGTTGATATTCCCCCATTTTTAATTTTATACATGCTATGATCTAAAGATGGGTTCAGTGTAGAAAATTGAGACTAAAATCTTTAAGTTTCTTTTTTGTTTATTTTTGAGACAGGGTCTCACTCTTGCCCAGGCTGGAGTGCAGTGGTACAATCACGGCTCAGAGCAGCCTCGAATTCCTGGTCTCAAGCCTCCCTAGTAGCTTGGACCACAGGTGGCCACCATCATGTCCAACTAATATTTTTAAAAAATTATTTTTAGTAGAGATGAGGTCTCACTCCTTTGCCCAGGCTGGTCTTGAACTCCTGGCCTCAAGCGATCCTCCTGCCTCAGCCTCCCAAATTGCTGGGATTACAAGCATGAGCCACTGTGCTCAGCCTTTAGCTTTCTTATAGTAACAGTTTCAAAACTTCATTGTCCTTCCTTATATATTTTTTCCCTTATGTGGACTGTTTTTTACTCAAATTCACAGACTTTTAATATTCAGGTTGCTTTGTTTTTCTAAAAACTACAATACCTTTTCCAAACAGTTTCAAATAATACAATAATAGTGATCCATACAGCACCAGTATCAGTTTTCAATACTTACTGTCTTGGATAAATATTTTTTCTAATTTTCATAGCAAAAAAAAAAAAAAACCAAAAAAATGTACATCCAAGTAGTTCATCATTAGTGTCTAAAGTGTTCAAACAATACATCTGCACCACCTCAATTAAAAAGATGTTTCATCTAGCAAACTCGGTATCTAACACTAAAGCTCCCATGGGGTCTACACATGCACCTAGCTCCTTGCTCCTTGTGGAAGTCGCTGGGGAGCCCCAATGTTAGATCTTATTTTCACATCATCCTTTCTCCTCTCCAAGAAGAGGGGCTGGCCAGGGAGAGTAAGAATAAGCCTGCGGTCTGGGTGTGTGGGAGAAGGGTGCAGGTCATGCTTGTAGGACAGGGCAGGTGGGAGGACAGCATAGGGGGCATGCACAGGTGACACCCGGGAACATCCAAGCATCCCCCTTCCCCAAACAAAGGACCATAGGGAATTCCAGCCTACCCACAATAAGGGGCAGTGGCAGGAGGAGAGAAGCCACAGAGCCCAAGACCGTGAGGTGCAGGCAGGGTGCACTCTTATCTGCACAGGAAAGACTGCCTCTGAGCTCTGGATCCTTGGTGGTGAACTCAAAAAGCAATGTGCTCAAATTGCTTAAGCTAAGGTGTAGGGCAGAAACTCCTTATACTACCCACTCTAAGTATAACCCCAAACTCACCAAAGCAAATGGGCTGAACTTGGGGAAAAATATGCAAATTCATGGATTTCCTGGCTAGTGCTACTATTTTGAGAAACAGACACGTACACACCTCTACCTTCCAACTCCACAAGAATTACTCCATGGGCCAGGCATGGTGGTTCATGCCTATAATCCCAGCACTTTGGGAGACCCAGGCGAGTGGATGGTTTGAGGCCAAGAGTTCAAGACCAGCCTGGTCAACACAGCCAAATCCCATCTCTAAAACAAACAAAAAAAATTAGCTGAGCATGGTGGCACCTGCCTGGAGTCTCAGCTACTCATGAGGCCAAGGCTGGAGGGATCACTTGAGCCCAGGCAATCAAGGCTGCAGTGAGCTATGATCTCGCCACGGCACTCCAGCCTGGGCAACAGAGCAAGACCCTGTCTTTAAACAAAACAAAAAAAAAGAATTATACCACAACTTCAACCCTGTAAACTGTTTCATTCCTACTTTCCTATCCATGGTCCCTCGTTTTTGTTAAAACTTCACCTGAGGAAGTAAAGTGACAGAAAAATACTAAAAACAAAAAAAGGACAAAAGACACAACCTATAAATTCTGGGATAAGATTTTAGTACTGCTTTTAATGATGAGAACTAGATTGCAAATAAATAGCAAATATACTTTAAAATGAAAAGCAGAAGATATTTCTGCAGAAAAATAAAACAACACAACTTCAAAAAAAAGTTTTCAAAATTGAAAATCACTGATTAGGGAGACCAGAATAAGAAGCGCTTCATACCAAGCTGCTCCAGTCACTGGTTTGACAGTCACTGAATATTATATTCTTTTCCTATACAGACTCACTATTGATATATAAACTAAGTCTTAAGTCTATCCAAAAGTCACAAAAGGATATGCCAAAAATCTATTTTAAATACCTCATAATTTTTTTAACAAACCCTATTATAACGCCTCATTAATTCTGAATTGCAGTTTTTGTCATTGTATTTAACCCCTTCTGAATAATAATGTTTTTATTCCCCTTTTTTAAAAACAAATCGAAATTACCCTGGATTAATATCAAATAATTTATATTCCTAAATATTATTTGGAAGGCAATAACTTTTTTAAAAGTGTGAAGAGTTAAAGACGTAAGGAAAGGCAAAGAAATAAATATAATTGAGGGCAGGGCGCGTTGGCTCAACCCTGTAATCCCAGCACTTTGGAAGGCCAAGGTGGGCGGAACACTTGAGGTCAGGAGTTTGAGACCAACCTGGACAACATGGTGAAACCCCGTCTGTACTTAAAAGTACAAAAATTAGGCCAGGCGCGGTGGCTGCCGCCTGTAATCCCAGCACTTTGACAGGCCGAGGTGAGAGAATCACGAGGTCAGGAGATCGGACCATCCTGGCCAACACGGTGAAACCCTGTCTCTACTAAAACACAAAAAAAGGGCTGCGCGTGGTGGCTCATGCCTGTAATCCCAGCACTTTGGGAGACCAAGGCGGGCGGATCACGAGGTCAGGAGAGTGAGACCATCCTGGCTAATACGGCGAAACCTCGTTGCTACCGAAAATACAAAAACTTAGCCAGGTGTGGTGGCACGCGCCTGTACTCCCAGCTACCCAGGAGGTTGAGGCAGGAGAATCACTTGAACCCAGGAGGTGGAGGTTGCAGTGAGCCGAGATGGCACCACTGCACTCCAGCCTCAGCAACAGAGCGAGACTCCAAGACTCCATCTCAAAAAAAAAAAAAATTAGCCAGGCGTGATGGAACGTGCCTCTAGTACCAGCTACTCAGGAGGCTGAGGCAGGAGAATCACTTGAACCTGGGAAGCGGAGGTTGCAATGAGCAAAGATCGCGCAACTGCACTCCAGCCTGGCGATAGAGCAAGACTCTGTCTCAGGAAAAAAAAAAAAAAAAAAAAAAATCCAAAAATTAGCCAGGTGTAGTGGCACGGGCCTGTAGTCCCAGCTACTCGGGAGGCTGAGGCACAAGAATCACTTGAACTGGGGAGGCAGAGGTTGCAGTGAGCCAAGATAGCGCCACTGCACTCCAGCCTGGGCGACAGAGCGAGGCTCTGTATCGGATGGATGGATGGATGGATGGATGCATGGATGGATGGATGGATGGATCGATAGATAAAATTGAGTAGGAAATAATTATTCCTCAAGAGAACAGACATAAATTTTTCCTGGGAAAACCACTCACATTTAAAGTAAATTCTAGCCTTCAAGACAAATACGTACAGCTGTGCATTTCTGTGTGTCTACCTTACCGCGTGTCTGAGGAGCATAACAAACAAAGCCGCTTGTTACTTATTAACATGAGTCTCTGATGTCAGTGGAAATAAGCCGTAAGGTTTGCAGGCCTCCCCCGCCCTCCGCCCTTCCTTGTTTTGGTTCACTCTCTTGGCTTCCTCCTCCGCTGTCGCAGTTCCAGAAGATGCGTCCAGCCACAACAAAGCTCTGAGGACCCGGGGAGCATTTCTTCCCAGGGCTATCACAAGTGAGAGAACGCTTTCCAGAAACCTCCCAGGAAGACTTCCCTTCACATCTTGTTGGACAGAAGTGAGTCACAGTCTCAAACTAATTACTGGTAAGAGGAAGAGAATACCGGTGATGTGCTGAGACCAGGCGTCCGAGGACGGGGTGGACATGGGGTGGTGGGAGCAGCGCAGTGGCAGGGTCACTTGGCGTGAACAGCTCCGCGGGAAGTGGCCGCTGCCTAAACGAGAGGGACTGGTACCAGAGAGGCGCAGTGCAGAGCATCTTTTACTTATCTACAGTCCCTTTACTCCCTTTTAAAATAAAAATAAGGATTCAAGTTTGCTACTTCAGCAAGCTATTGAGTTTCCGAATATCTCAAACAGATTAATTGGATATTTCTAGACCCATTTAGCACAGTTTACTATCATTAAGCTGACTCCCCGCAAACGGTGCAGATAGTAAGATAGACCTTAGGAGCTAGCAGCTGTAACTATTTAAATTGGGCCTCCACATCTCTCCTTTGCTCAGTGCATAGAATGCCTACCAGCAGAATTTTTCTTTTTTTTTTTTTCTGAGATGGAATCTTCTCTGTTGCCCAGGCCAGAATGCCGTGGCATGATCTTGGCTCACTGCAACCTCTACCTCCTGGGTTCAAGTGATTGTCCTGCCTTAGTCTCCCGAGTAGCTGGGACTACAGGTGTGTACCACCACACCCAGGTAATTTTTTGTATTTTTAGTAGACACAGGGTTTTCCCATGTTGGCCAGGCTGGTCTCAAACTCCTGACCTCAGGTGATCCACCTGCCTTGGCCTCCCAAAGTGCTGGGATTATAGGCGTGAGCCACCACACCTGGCCAAAGCAGCAGATCTTAAATAGACTTCTTCGGCTAGCTCCTCTCTTAGCGCCTGTGGGTCTCCCAGTGGGAAATGTCCTCCGTCGGTGGCCTCTACCTTTACGTGGCCAAAGACGACCACTGAGGCACAGGAGATCCACCCTGGCTGGTCCTCATTTCTACCACGTCCAGTCCAAAACACATTTGACAATTTCTGAACCACACATTTACAATGCATGCAAAATCAGTTAGTGAACAAATAAAACACATTTTTAAAAAGATGGAGTTCTTTGAAGATCCTATTTAATGTTTTCTGTAGAAATATTTTCTCTCATACATAACAAGAAAAAAACAACGTGCTAATGGGGGCTGAAAGCAACTGTTAGGCTATCAAGAGGCAGCTGTTTTTTAAATGGCTTCATCAAGCAACATCTGCTGATGGACCCCACACCTGTTACAACGAGCACATCCCCGCCACTGCCAGCTCTGGGTACACTCTGCCAAAAGTGATTTATCAAAGCAATTACAGATCACTGAAACAGCTGTGTTGGAAACCAAGGGCACCTTCGATCTTACAGAGCTCACTGGCCGGCTGGTCGGCACTAAAGGGCCTATCTTTCTGCGTACAGCGGGTCTGAACAATGGAAATGATTTACATGGATATTTACAAAGGGTGTCATCCTCGAGGAAGTGTGGCAATTCCCCTAAACGTGTGATAACAACATACCCGTGCTGCATTTTCAAGAAAAAATAAATAAATATCACCTGTCCTTTGGATGAGTCACTGCTCTTTCAACTTGAAAGTTAAATTTAAAATCAAAGCTACAAGAGTATATGCTTCCAGCCAAGTGCACCATCTAATGGAAAACAGCCAAAGGCCTGGCATTACTGCAAACTGTAAAACTGCATTCATAAAATATTAGTGTCTCCATTACAGCAGTGAAGTACTCATTCCAGAACCTTTTACTTGAAGGACAGGAAACGCCAGGAAAATAATCCATTTTACATGAAAATTGGCTCAAGTATTCTATTTTCTCTGCTCAGGAAGGCATCTGTGTCCCTGCAGCTCTCTTTCCTCCTGCCCCTAGCTGGCCTGGCCACACTGCATCTGGGCTAGGCCTTTCCCACCCTCTGGGCATCTAGTACTCTTTTTATTCCCACCACTGGGACCCTTTTATCTTCTTTCCACTGCAAGGCTCCTTCTCTGGGGATGCTACACCCAAATGAGCTGTAATTCCCAATCTACTGCCTCCGCAATAAAGACATGATTAGAGCTCTCTGAAATATACTTTCTTTTCAGCTTTCCATATGACTGAGAAATAGAAAACTCAATCTAAAAAGAGGTCACAATGCTCAATAAATGACAGCTGTGAGTACCCTATCGCAGCTCACAAAGATCTCAGTTCTTTCAGGAAGGTTCTAATGATACTGGAGATGAGGAAAGCATCTCTCGAAAACTGAGGAAGCAGATCCCCCAAGCGGGCATTTCTGACCGCAGAACTCAGTCTTCTGCCTCCTGGGGGAGATGACAGAGCACAATTTCATGCTAATGGCCTACATCTCACCCCCAAAACAAAGGTTCTCAATGGGAGGATGACCATCAGCTCAGAATCACTGAAGGAGCTTTTAGAAAAGGCTATACTCCTATACTCACCCCCTGCCCAAGACTCTATTTTGGCTCTGGCATGCCTGTGGTCAGTAAGTCCAACAAGAAACACAGTGTGGACTGTCCCAGAGTTTTGAGGGTCATTTTCATTAAAGACACATGGTGGTCTCTGGGAGTGGGCAAAGAGGAGGCAGGTAAGAGAGACCTACTCCAAGTTATAGCTGCAGAACAAAGCACAGTCAATATGCAGACATGACCCTCACCCAAGCTGGTGCTGAAGAAAATAGCTAACATTTTTTGAGCACTTCTATATATGAGGTACTATCTTAAACTCTTTGCATGTTTCAACTCAATTAATTAGCACAAACCCTTTGAGGAGACTGGTACTATTATTATTATTCCTGTTTTATACACAAAGAAGTATAGGCACAGATATTAAGTAATTTGTTCAACACCATGGAACCCACAGAGCAGGTGAGTAACAGAGATGGGACTGAACCCAGGCATCTGGCTCTGGGGGCAATGCTTTAGCAACACTGCGCTGCCATGCACAGCCTTGGAGAAGAGAATCCATCTTTTACTGAAAGAAGACAGTCTCTCAAGTTTTGGAAGAATATTCAAAAATAAGTGAAGTACATGATGATGATTCCATCATTACTGAGTGATGGTTAAGAGCACCAAAAATGTTTTAAACATGTTCACTGAAAAAGTAAAAGGGAAATTAATGCATCTCTTATTTACTCAGAAAATATTTACTGAGCACTTATTTTGTTTGTGATGCTATATCCTGCTGAGTATTAAGAGACTAACAGGATATAGACTATGTCCTTATGGGCTCATATTCTAGCAAAGATGTAAGAACAAGCAACTATCAGCATATGCAAGCTATTATTTGTTTTGCACCCTATTTGAGAAACTTTCAGGAATTTAAGCATTCTATGTGGTGTGTAATTCTTTAATTTTTTTAAACCACTATCAAAATAAGTATGCTCTATTTGTTCCTTCACATCTCTCCAGGCCTCCAGGCTTAGGAAAGCCTCTGTAAACATTTCTGTGCTCTGACCCACAGCTTGCCTTCACATGCAACAAGCTGGATTGGCAGAGATGGCTCCAAAATGAGATTCTACAACTGAGCCACTTACAAAAAGCTATCCTGTTGATAACTCACATTAAAAATGTTCCTGAGGATAATAATCAATATTTTGAAAAACCAAATCCAGAAGTAGTAGAATAAACCAAATACTTGGAGAAAAAAAAATTACATTCGTGTATTTCTACCAGAGTGCTGGTATCTATACATAGCTTCTTTGGGTTCTGTGTCTGACAATATTCAACAAGTAACAAAGAAAACAGGTCAAAATTCGTCATAATATTTTCTATTTCTCCCTCTGAAAAGATGTATAACTATCAATGTCAATGACCTACATGCTGCAAGCTAAGATTACAGAGGTAATAAAACTGCTTAACTGGATCCTCCAAATAAAGTCTCACCAGGCCGGGTGTGGTGGCTCACGCCTGTAATCCCAGCACTTTGGGAGGCTGAGGCGGGCACATCACTTGAGGTCAGGAGTTCAAAACCAGCCTGGCCAACATGGCAAAACCCTGTCTCTACTAATTAAAAAAAAAAAAAATAGAAAAATTAGCTGGGCATGGTGGCAGGTACCTATAATCCCAGCTACTCAGGAGGTTGAGACACAAGAATCACTTGAACCTGGTGGGGTGGAGGTTGCAGTGAGCCAAGACTGGGCCACTGCACTTCAGCCTGGACAACAGAGCGAGACTCCATCTCAAAAAAAAAAAAAAAAAAGTCTCAACAAATTTGAAACAAGTATATTTAAAATAAGTCTAAAAAAAAACAGACTCTTTTTCTGACTGATTTATAGAGTGATTTTTGCCATTAAAAATGGGCATTACACCAAAAAAAAAGCTAATGGAAGTTATAGCTCTGAGATTCTATAATTCTTCATGGAATCATGGTTTTTTTCACTCTTTAAGAGAAACTGAATTAATGTCAATTCAGGTGTTTAGTGTGTCTTTTGCAAACTGACCTACGTGTTCATCTCAAAAATCATTTCTCTTGAGTTGGCCTCTTACTGCTGTCTTCTCAGAGAAGCATTCACACCAAAACTCTATTTAGAAAAGTTAAGTGGCCGTTAAAATTCACCCATCGTCTCCAGGAATGGTGGACTAAGTAGTTTGAAATAGGCTCCTCACTGTGAGCCCTCAGAAAAGCTGGACAAGATGCAAACAAACAAACAAGCCCCAGCTATTTGCAGACGTTGCCCAGCTACTAAGTCAGTGAGTCATGGAAGAAGAAACCCATGGAAGAGGAGGTGAACCAGAGTCAGAAGCCCACACTCCCAGGGGACAGCTAGCCTCACAGAGACAGAACCCCAGCTCCAGATCATCTCAGTCCCTGCTAGGAAGATAAAGACAAACTAACCAGGCATATTAGATATGGAACGTATGATTGAAAACAACAGATAAGAAAAACAGAAATTGAGGGGAGCCAGAAAAGGGAGTTATTTCAAAAGAAATATGCATAATATGTTCAAATAAATAAAAGATAGGATTAATAATTTTGACAGAGAACTGGAAATGGTTTTTATAAATCAAATAGAGGGCATGAAGGCTCCCGCCTGTAATCCCAGTACCCTGGGAGGACGAGGTAGGAGGATTGTTTGAGACCAGGCGTTCGAGACCAGCCTGGCCAACGTGGAGAGACCCCCATCTCTACAAAAAATAATTAAAAAAAATAAATGGAATAGCAGGGACTGAAAAATAATACATGTTAAAACTCAGTATATGGATTTAGCATCAGAATAGACTTAAAAAGAGTCAAAGGTGAAATGGAAAAGAAACCAATAGAAGACATCCAGAATGAAATAAGGAGATACAAGAGGAAAGAAATAGAGGAAAATCATGAGACATGGGCTATAGAAGCAAAGGATAGCACACGAGATTGCGTTCCCAGCAATGGAGGCGTGAGAAAACAGGCAAAAGAAATCACAGTGGAGAAGTTTCCAGAACAGATCAAAGACAGGACGGCCTGTGACTCTCAAGTAAATAAACAACAAAAACAATACCCTGGTACAACAATCACAATGAACCTACAGAAAACCAAAGATGAGAGCAGTCTAACCCCAGAGCCCGTGGCCGTGGCTGAAGTCAGCCTCTCTCTTCTCGCGGTTCTGCATCCATCCCCGGGCCACACCAAGGCCGTGCTGCTCTTCGCACAGGCTCCAGGCCTTCCCACCTTTCTTGCCTTTGTACCTTCTACCTGGCACCTTCACATTACTCAGAACTCACGACTGACAGCTCTCATCGACTGACAGTCCTGTCTGCAGGGCTGCCCAGATAGGACATTACCTGCAAGTGCTACTTCAGATTTAAAACTAAAAAGAAAATAAAGTCATTAGGGCCACGGGACACATCTGAGTTTCAAATCATTTTCCTCACTACAGAAATAGCATGTAGGCTGGCTCTCAAGTGAAAACATAAAAATGTCAGGCCCAGACCTTACTGTTCTCCATTCTAGTAGAGGCATTGCTTCAGTCATTAGCTGGTGAAAGATATTTCCTGTAAACTCTCCCTTTTTCAACATTAATATTCAATTACAAGATTTTGTTTTCTTTAGGAAATAGAAACAATTTTGTGCTTAATAGAATCTAATACCTTAATATGTCCTTATACATAAAAATATGTGGCGTGCACCTGTAGTCCCAACTACCTGGGAGGCTGAGGCAGCAGAATCGCTTGAACCCGGGAGGCAGAGGTTGCAGTGAGCCAAGACTGTGCCATTGCACTCCAGCCTGGGTGACACAGCGAGACTCCATCTCAAACAAACAAACAAAAAAGGCCGTGTTAAGTTCCAAATTTCAGTTTAACACAGTTTATCTTGAAATCTAACAAGGAACAAAATAAGCAGGTAAAACCTATTTAATGGGAAAAAAAGAATGGTTGAGATACTAACATTATATTTGTAGGCTGCTACTCAGAAGCTTCTAATTTTAATTCACCAATTCAATCCTTCCACAATTCCACTGTATACTTTTAAAACCAGGAAACTAAATTTTAGTGTTTCTGTGGACTCATTACCACATATCAACATAAACTTCTCTCCCCATGCTCATATCAAAAGATCTCAAACTACTGGGAAGTTATATACTTAAAATTTAATGTTGCTGGCTAGGTGCTGTGGCTCACGCCTGTAATTCCAGCACTTTGGGAGGGCCAAGGAAGGCAGATCACTTGAGGTCAGGAGTTCGAGACCAGCCTGGTCAACATGGTGAAACCCCATCTCTACAAAAAACTTAAAAAATTAGCCAGGCGTGCTGGCGGGTGCCTGTGGTTCCAGCTACTAAGGAGGCTGGGGCAGGAGAATCGCTTAAATTCAGGAGGCGGAGGTTGCAGTGAGCCGAGATAACACCAGTACACTCTAGCCTGGGCATCAGAGTGATACTCCATCTCAGAAAAATAAAATAAAATAAAATAAATTTAATGTTACCTTTTAAGAAATTTATATCATTCTTCCTTCTAACCTGTAAAATAATAAAACACGTCCTTCATCTATATTGCTATCAAATTTGCGCTCCTAAAACACTCACTCAACCTTTAAGCAAACAAATCAGGAATTTTTTTTTTTCTTTTTTTTTTTTTTTGAGAAGGAGTCTCACTCTGTTGCCCAGGCTGGAATGCAGTGGCACGATCTCAGCTCACTGCAATCTCCGCCTCCCGGGTTCATGCCATTCTCCTGCCTCAGCCTTCCGAGGAGCTGGGACTACAGGCGCCCGCCACTACGCCCAGCTAATTTTTTGTATTTCTAGTAGAGACGGGGTTTCACCGTCTTAGCCAGGATGGTCTTGATCTCCTGACCTCATGATCTGCCCACCTCAGCCTCCCAAAGCGCTGGGATTACAGGTGTGAGCCACCGCACCCAGCCCGCAAATCAGGACTTTAAGCCTTGGTCTTTAATTTTAGAGTCTAAAAATGAAACAACTTTACATGAGAAATGTTTATAAAGAAATGAAACTTCTTCTAGGATAAATTACTTGTTTAAATTCTAAAAGTCCCAAGGCTGTAGTTTCCAAACTCTGCTTTGCATTAGAATCACCTCAGGAGTTTAAAAAAATCCTAGTGGCCAGGGTGCACCCCATATTAATGACACCAGCATGTCTGGCTTGGGGCCAGGCAGCCACAAACCTTACAGATCCCCAGGTGAGTCCAATGCGCAGCCCAGTCAGGAAGCACTACCCTAGGGCATTAGGAGTTTTTGATTCATTCAAGCAAAGGCTGTGCGGTGAACACTAATAAGGACTGGATTAGGAAGAAAATCCTGCGAAAGAGGGGAAACCTAGGTCTTGCTCCTTCTGCTATTGGCGAGACGCAATACAGAAGGTGGATTCTTCGCCCTCACTAGGTGTTCGTCCCCTCCACGTTAAGGACGGGGTGCCGCACTGGGGTCGGGAGCTGCTGGCCAGGAGGGTCTCAGGTGGGGCCAGAAAATCAGCATTTATTTATTTATTTTTGAGACAGAGTCTCACTCTGTCGCCCAGGCTGGAGTGCAGTGGCATGATCTCGACTCACTGCAACCTCCCCTTCCTGGGTTCAGGTGATTCTCCCACCTCAGTCTCTTGAGCAGCTGGGATTACAGGTGCCCACCACCAGGCCTGGCCAATTTTTGTGTTTTTTGTAGAGACGGGATTTTGCCATGTTGGCCAGGGTTTTGCCATGTTGGCCAGGCTGGTCTCGAACTCCTGACCTCAAGTGATCCGCCCGCCCCAAAGTACCGGGATTATAGGCATGAGCCACCATGACTGGCCCAGAAAATCTGCATTTAAAACCTGCTTTGAGTGATTCTTCACACAGAACCAGAAGTGGTGGATTCGTTTCAGAAATGACATTCTAAATTATGAGGGCAAAGTTTACTAATACTCTTAAAATATTTTTAAAAGAAGACTTAAATTTGAGCAAGTTAGGCAGTTTAATATATGAAAATATTTTTGTTCCTGAGCACAGCAGTTGAAGGCAGATATGGAGGTGTGTATTTGTAATTGTGTATTTTGTCTCCCTCTCTGACCACTCATTCTTTTATCATTACTCAAGACAGTAATACCACCTTATATTTATGGAGCACTTACTATTTGATCTACAGAAGAATGCCAGAAGGTCAAACAGGTACCCATCTCCCATTCATATGCCATTTACAGTGAGATGCCTCATAAGGAAGAAGGGGCCACACTCCCGCCCAGGATGCCTGTCCCTAACCCAGTGCTTCCACAGACCCAGCCCATCAGATTCAGGGCTATCCCAGGCACAGGGAGGCAATACCACTCGTCTGAAACAGTAACTTCCACTGTGGGCAAATGAGAAAGTCAAACCTCATGCCTTTTGATCAGACAGGACGGAGTATTTTTATGGTGAGTAACAAGTAACTCAACACTCAATATTTACTGAGCACTTAAAAAAAAAAAAAGCCAGACATGGTACAACGTAGAGTACCAATAGAGATGAGAGGTACCACGGCTTCCCTGGGCAGACACTGGCAGAGGGTAAAGGGTCAGTAAAGCGGGAGGGCACAGAACAGAGCTGTGGTGCCATGCGACGCATCAGCAGGAGAGGCACGGGAACGGTAGTAGATGCAAAGGAAACTGGTTCTTTATTTCTTTCCAAATGAACTAGGTCAAGCGGCCATGTAGCAGTAGGAAGAAGACTGAGAAACTGGGACGCAAAACACAAACTCAGCCACAGTGTTGCGAGCGTTCTAGGAAGGGCCCCACCCCTGGGAGGCAGCGCGCTGAGCAGGTCCCGCAGGCTGCAGTGGAGTCACAGTGCGCAACGCCATTGTAGAGCAGGTGCCTTGGTGTTGCCCACGCCACAAACATGTTATGGGACCCTGACAGTCTCTCTCTCTCCACATCTGTTGCTTTACCTGAAATAGGGTTCCTTTCCATTTTCTTGCTCCACTTTTTTTTCCGAGACAAACCAGAAAGCATCAGTAAAGAAATCTAAGTTTCTACAAGTTACTGCCAACTTTCATGAAATCTGTGTAATTTTAAATGTCTTTTAACCATTGCCAAGATAAGAAGCAAAGGAGTCAGGTTTCTCTTCCGCAGGTCAAATGCAGCCGCCCATCTGTTCAAGCCTGCGTATCAGGACCTGGAAGCCCCATGCAGACCCATCTACTCTGTCATTCTTTTCATCTGTTGCTTTTCAATCGGTATGGTTTTTCCCTACCATTCTGAATTCAGGTTTCACTACATTATACTTTTTTGGCCTCATAAAAATGAGGCACAAGGTATAATATATATGGCTAATTTTAAATTTAAGCAATGCAAGTAGATATTGAATGATAAAAACATTTAAAATCCTCATTCTATTACTCATGTAAGAGGATCAGCGGAGTCTTTCAGAGGAAGAGCAAGGTTTTAAAGCCAAAACCACAAAGGGAAGGGTGTACCTGAGTGTTAGTATATAAACCTTTCACTCTGATGGCTTGAGGTCAAGACTTGGTTAGTTCAAAAGTGAATGAATGTTTGGATTCTTCACCTCCTACCTAGTAAATATTTATTCCGATTATAAAATGGCAAGAAACACTGGCACAACCAACATTCTCTGCTTGAGAGAAGCTACAGGCATTTTTATAAGAAATGCATTAGCAAAGTGATATGAGAAAGCTTGCTCTATCAATAATAACTCTTTGTCTGGAATGCAAACAACGCTTTCAGTTTCATATTCTGAGTTTTCCAGCATTTACCCATAATCAATTTTTTAGAATAAAAGACAAGTCAGATAGACTGGTTTATGTTTCATTGACCCAGAGAAGAACATTATGATGTATCAGCATTTGAAAGTTTAAAATAATATTTTTACACACTGACCTTTTTGCCTCTCCCACTTTTCTTCAATTCCTCATGAGGTTTGATGAGGTCCTTAAAGCCGTCACATGAGTCATCTAAAACATCATGCCTTGTTGGTCTATTTTTAACACCTAAAACCCAAGGGGATTAAAAATTAGTTAGAACTTTACATGGACCAAATACAACTTAAGCAAAACAAAAATCACATTTATGCATAATGGAAACAGGAAGTTATAGGCCTTTTAAATAAATTGTATATATCTGGCTCTTTGAGATCTATCTAGAACTTTCAGTTTATTACATTCCAATATCCCAAGCAATTCACTTAATTCAATGGTCGGTAACAATCAGGTTACAGTGTTCTACAGCATCAACTCCGTCCATTTGATAATGTAAGAAAATGTATACCCATACCTTACGCACTCGTCAAACTTAAATTCTTAGATTTTAAAATAATGACAAAGAACAGCTCTTCAGAGTAGGCAGTTCCATATTAGAGGCAATAATTAATCTAACTTTTGGGGTCAGTTTGAGATTTTCTAGAAAATAGTCTTCAGTACAGAGCTTCAGGCTTCAACCTACAAATGATGGATGATGATTTTACTCCCCCCAAGTTTCCACCTTAGACCAGCGTCTTGCCATGAAGACACACAAACCAAAAGGATACTCATTCAAGTGAAATGTGGTTTCCTTAGATGCTAACCTCTGTAGACCTAAGTAACCCACGATGAAATGTGAAATGTGTACTTTGATTTGACTCATCTACTGCCTCAGAGGGTGCCTCTTACTCTCACCCTTCCTCCTCCTTCAAACAGTTTGCCTACTTTATGACTTACATGGGATTTTGAAGGAGGAGCTAACATGGACCATAACATGGTCTCAATGGTATAATGCAAACTTTGACGCAAAAGTTATGTAGCAGCCTAGGGGGTACTAGAACCTGCCAGGCAGGTGATAGCCAAACTGCACTGTTGATTACCTAATGATTAACAAATAGCTAATCATCTACCCACTGGAGATGCAAAATGCACAAGATATAGTCCCACACTTAGGGAGCTCACAACCCAATAGACAATGTAGATGCAGATGAATAAATATAATGCAACGTGAAATTAACATCAGTGCCCTCAGAGATTAAAAATCATATAACATGAGAAAGACTTCTTTGCAGATAAAATGCTATAAAGCCAGCTATAACTAAGTTTGGAGAGTCTAAGGTAAAAACTGTCACTCTTTTCAAAAACAGGGTCCTATCTCAGTGAAAAAGGATGTAGAATAAAAATGTTAATACTTTCCTGAATTCAAGCTAGTTGTTATTTGCAGCCTGGGCCCTGGACAGATTTTAAGGTCCAGTTCTAAACCACAAACCTACCAACCTACACTCTTTGCCATAATCCCTAATACTGAATCCACTCGAGACTCAAACCAGTCACATCCTGACTGATCCCGTACCTCCTCAGGTATCTTTTATGGTTGACTTGCACTGACTTTTCTCCCAGGCCCACTTTATCCCCCGGGGTAGAACATGAATGCAATCTCCTATCGTCTTTAAGATTAAAAATAATTAGAATTATTAATTATATCTACTACGCACTTATTTTCCTTTTTAAATAACAAATATTTACTTGAAGCATGAGTGTGTCAAAATCGGAAAAGCAGTGGACTAGAGATATAATTTGGGACGTAGTGCTCTGTTATTGAGTCATGAATAAATTTGCAGCTTCCTAGTGTATTCAATAAAAGTTTTATAATAGCCACTTGCCTCAGTTCTTGCCGAACAACGAAACAGGCTGTAAAGCATTTTATAAACATAAAGTTCTAAGAAATGCAACACAATCTTTTAAAACTTAAGAAAGACTGATATTAAAAAAAAAAAAGACTGATATTGTTAACATGTTTTCACAATTTCACAAATCCTGAAGTCAAAAAATGATCTAAGTAAATGATTTTATTTAAAACATTTCATAAACTCTGCCACACTAATTTGCCAGTGGGTTTTAACATTGACATCGGTAAACCCAAAGCAGTTGAGAGTGCAAAGTACTTCTGAAAACATTTGTGGAAAGATTAGTTGGACTCCACTTTTGGCAGGAGGTCTGTAAACAAACACCTACCCTCCTCTTCCTGACTCTCCCACTTCTTGGATGACTCTTTATTCGTGTTTGCTCCTAAGTGTGGTTTTTTCATGGGTTGTCATCAGCTCCCTTCTCACTCCCCAAGGTGATTTCATCACTTCCCATAAAGTCGTCCATTACTGAAGAGACCTAATTCTCTGTACCTTGTCTAGACCTCCCAGCTGAGGTATGGCTGGCTATATCCAACTACCTAATGGACATCTATTTTGAATGTCTCCAAGAAATTCCAACGAACATGCACTCTTTAGCTGCTCTTCCTCCAACACACCCCAGTTGGATGAATGTCTGTCTTCTTCGGCTGGGGCTACCATAACAAAATACCACAGATTTGGTGGCCTGAAGGCCGAGATCACGGTGCCCCCATGGTCGGGTTCCGGTGAAGGCTTTCTTCCTGGCTTGAAGGAGGCTACCTTCTTGCTGTCTTCACATGGCAGAGAGAGAGGAAGCCAGTTCTCTGGTCTTTTTATAATGGTCCTAATCTCATCATGAAGCCCCCATCTTCAAGACCTCATCTAAACCTAATTATCTTCCAAAGATCACCCTATCCAAATGTTATCCCATTGAGGGTTAGACCTTCAGTAAATAAATGTGGGGGTCAAAGGACACAATTTGGTCCACAGCATTTCCCTGTGAAAGCCATATATCTTCCTCTCATTTTCCTCCCAACCTCATTACACACACAATTCATTGACTTCGTTTTCACGAAATGATCAAATACGGAAATGAATCTGACAGACCCCACATTTTTATCTTTCAGTTATCTGAAATTTCACCATTTGGAAATTAGTTTGGATTAATAATACCATCAAAATGCAAACACATCAATGAAAGCTAGTAAATGATCACTCACTCACCTCTCAGTGTGAATTAGTTAAATCACAACCTTCAGCTACTCAACAGAGATAAGCAAGATTAAGGAAAAGTATTGATACTGAGGGAAAAGAGAAGAAAATGACTAATATGATCACTTTGGAGCCAGATCCAGGGCAAGACAGTATAAGGACACATGTAACTTAAATACTAGGAAAGGGAGAGATGAAGAAGTGGACGATGAAAAGACTGTAGGAGAAACTTGGCTTGTGTCAAATTTTGTCTAGAGCTAAGGCCGAAGAAATAACTCTTATTTTTAACATTTATTTTCCTCCACATCCTACTTTCCTACTTCCAAGATACAGAATTAAGACTAACAATGCTAATATTAATAACACATTTAAACAATTAGTATTTACTCTTACAATGCACTATGCAAGAGTCAAGGGTTGAAAAGGCTTCTGAAGGCTGAATAATCCATAATTTTAACATGTAAAAATATACACTTAACATTATCCAATGAGAAATGTCTTCTAAGCTTCAAAAATTTGAATATGAAATTATTTTACAATGTAGTATGCAAAATATTAAGACTGGAAAGAATCTTAAAAGACACCTAGGAAAAATTCCTTTCCAGAGATACCTTTGGTATATATGCAAGTTATACGGGTTCTACACAAGTAAAACTCTGCTAACGAGACTGTATTCATATTCATCTATTAAAATATCAAGTTCACTTTGTTCATTCTGAAAAAAACAAAAACAACACTCTTCAATAGATAATGCGGAATTTTATCCTTTGTAATCGTTGTAGAGGTCATTCCAATATCAATTTTAATTCCCACTGAAAGTAATTGCTCTGACTTTTGAATTTCCTGATACTTGTGTGTAAAGTATCTTGACTGTACCTTCCCTACTTAGCTAAGTTCTTTAAAGCAAGGGACAGAGCTTTCTATTAACCTTACCTCTCTCACTGTTTATACATTGGACATAGTAGATACGGAGTAAACATCTGACAGATAAAAAATGAATATGTAAATGAATGAATGAATCAACCAAACAGTTAAGTGGTCAATAGCCTTCTGTTAAGACTGACTAACCCACATCAAGTTGCTAGGATTGCTTAGTTTTGCAGCCCCAGTGAGTTAGGCTGGCAGGCTATGGGAAAGGGGGTTCTTAATACACTTGTGAATTATTTGAAGAGTCAAAAGTGCAACAATTTAACATACTTAATGAATATATGTCTATCTATTTATTTGCAACAATAGTAATTCACAGTTCCTCTTGAATGCTCAGAATTTGCAAAATGTACTATACCATAGGCTGGGCACAGTGGCTCACAACTGTAATCCCAGCACTTTGGGAGGCAGAGGCGGGCAGATTGCATGAGCTCAGAAGTTGGAGACCAGCCTGGGGAACGTAGCCGAGTGTGGTGGCCTGCGTCTGTAGTCCCAGCTACTCAGGATGCTGAGGTGGGAGGATCACTTGAGCCCAGTAAGTTGAGGCTGCATTGAGCTGCGATCATGTCACTGCACTCCAATTTGGGTGACAGAGTGAGACCCTATCTCAAAACAACAACAACAAAAAACCCCAACTCCTGTAAATCATCCAGCCCAATATTAGATGCTTTGTTAAAAGCCAAAATGGATGACAAAAATGAGTGGTTATCGGTGACATCATCAGCTTGTTAATCAGCATAATGGATGTGAGAAACAGTTTCTTATTGGTTAAATTCATGGATTCAAGAACACTGAATTGGCTTAAATATTGCAGGGGAACCCAATACCCACACATAACAGAGCATAACCATCTAGTATGAGTTGTGGCTGGTATCCCTGGAGGTGGTATCCAAGGCTTAATCCCTAAATGACCCTATAATAAACCACAGGGTCAAAGGATACACGATGGTCTGGTGCTGAGTGCAAGTTTGCAGAAACTTGCCCATAGAATGTTGTCTGCCTCCAGCAAACCTTTCAGATAAAGTATGGACACTGCACTAAAGGACAGAGAACTGGGCCTTCAGCATATTGGTCAATTTGTGGACCACTTCCTAATTGCTTGCCAATAAATGTTTAATAAATGTCTTTCTGATACTTGCCTTCAACAAGATCTGGTAGATAGAAGGTAGAAGAGTAGTTAACCATCATTGACCTCCAACAACTGGTGACTATTATCGATGAACAAGACCCTGGTAGTTGGACATGACCAAATTGCTCAGATAAGCTCACAACACGTATGTACAAGGTGCTGACATGTAAAAATCCATCACACACAGCAAAGAAGAAAATCTGTATCAAACCCATGGACAAGTGGGGTATAGATAGGAAGGACTTTTCTGCTTTTGCTAGTGAACACACGGCACCTATAGGACAACTGTGTCTCCTTCGTGAAAAGCAACTAGAAGCCAAGCTGTGCACTAGTTCAGGATGACCAGTCGGCTTTAACTACTTGGCAATTCAAACTGACTTTCGGTGGTTGAAGAGCTGTGATTGGCAGTGCTAAGGGTCAGGTGGGACACATTTCCACACATAAGCAACGATTCTCTCTTGTGCTGTCAGAGGTTAAAACAAGAAGATCTCCATTCCCATGCAAACTGGCTGTGGACATACTTCCTGAGCCCAAACTACAGCAGCACTTTTCAGACTGAGTGCAAGAGCAAAGGGAATTTCCTATTTCTTTTTTTTTTTTTCTTTTTGAGACGGAGTTTCACTCTCGTTGTCCAGGATGGAGTGCAGTGGCATGATCTCGGCTCACCGCAACCTCTGTCTCCTGGGTTCAAGTGATTCTCCTGCCTCAGCCTCCCAAGTAGCTGAGATTATAGGCATGTGCCACCACGCCTGGCTAATTTTGTAATTTTAGTAGAAATGGGGTTTCACTATGTTGGTCAGGTTGGTCTTGAACTCCTGACCTCAAGTGATCCACCTACCTCGGCCTCCCAAAGTGCTGAGATTACAGGCGTGAGCCATCACACCTGGCCGGAATTTCCTATTTCAAAACCCATTTAACTGCACAATTGAGGAGCTTCCACCTATTTTTCAATTGCAAGTGATGAATCTGCAATATAAGGACACGCTAAGAGGCAGGCATCGAGAGAAGAATCTAAGAGAATTCCATCAGCGTCTTCTAAGCAATGAAGATGCTCAATGCAAATTATCTAACTGTGGACTGACATCGAATCAGCAGTATCTGTCTGTGTGAAAAGATATTTTCAAAAGTGAAATACGTAAAATCTATCTTATTACAAATCAGCCTTAATAAACATTTGCAATCAATGTTGGTGATGGGAACACTCAGTCTGAACTCCAATTAAATGAAATGTTATTATTCCCCCACCACAAATTATTTTATTTTTCTCATTAATAGACCTGTATTACAAAAAAAAATGTATTCCAGTGTCAATAAAAATTTTGTGGAAAATGTCTTTTTCTCATTATGTAATCATCTCATGAGTACCTACATACCTCGATTTGGTCTCTTTGCCCATGAAGCGTAATAAACTTACTATCTGATCTGTTACAGAAAAAGTGTGCTGACCCTACCTATAGGCTCTATTAGAAAATGAAGATTTACTGGTACCAATATGTAAATATATGACATACTGCTTTTGTAAAAAGCAATTTTTAAGGCAATATAATTCTATGCATGCAAAAAATTCTCTTAAAATATCTATTTGCAGTTGTATGCTTGTAGACACACACACAAGAAATGTGTGGAAGGAAATATTAAACTGTGGACAGTGGCTGCTTCGTGCAGACAAACACTCCAACCCACAGTCTGTTCTTCAGTGACCATGGTTACATTTAAAACCTAAATCAGATTTGGTTGCTCCCCTGTTCAAAAGCCCCAATGGCTTCTCATCACACTTCAAAACAAAACAGCTGCCCGCCTTGTCAGAGACTGAAGGTCCCAAAGCTCTGGCTCTTACCCCTCTCCAACCTCCTTCCTGCAGCTCAGGAAGTCCTTGCTGTACTGGCCTCCCCGTTGTTCCTGCAAGCATTTTCCTCCATCAGGACATTTGTTCCTGCTGTTACCTCCAGCTGAAACATGGATTTTGACAGAGTCACAGGCTCCCTCTCCCTCCCCAGGCCTGTGATCGGATGTCACCTTCTCAGGGAAGCCTTCGTTGGTCACCTTATCTATCCAATGCAGTATTGTTTTTCTTTTTATCATTAACTGCTTGCTAGCTGACATTGTTATACACTTATTTACTATTTGTCTTCCTCTATGAGGGTGCACGCTGCTTCATTCTCTATGTCCCCACAAACTTGAAGAGCACCTGAGACACAACGGGTGCATGTCTTTCATTAGTTAGGAAGTGAATTAGTGAAAAGAGGCAAGTGAGGAGATGGAAATTCTAGTCTTCTTAGCAATCTTTGTTACAATGGGAATGTATCTGTGTACTGTTTATAAAATTAAGAGAATAAAAAAGTAAAAAAGAAAAAAATTAATGATTTTAAAGATTTTAGAAAACAAAATTGTTGGCCGGGCGCGGTAGCTCACGCCTGTAATCCCAACACTTTGGGAGGCCGAGGAGGGTAGATCATGAGGTCGCGAGTTCAAGACCAGCCTGGCCAAGACGTGAAACCCCATCTCTACTAAAAATACAACAAAATTAGCTGGGCATGGTGATGGGTGCCTGTAATCCCAGTTACTCGGGAGGCTGAGGCAGAGACTTGCTTGAACTCGGGAGGCGGAGGTTGCAGTGAGCTGAGATTGTGCCACTGCACTCCAACCTGGGCGTCAAGTGCGAGACTATGTCTCAAAAAAAACTAAAAAACAAAACAAAACAAAACCAAAATTGTTTCTCGCTCAGTTCCCGTTCTATCAGCGTATTGAAGCTCTTTGTAACTTGTTTTTGAAGCCTTTTTTACACTGTATCTTAGATACTGACAACAGCAACAAGTAAAAGTGAACTGAAAACAGAAATGGCAAAAAGCCCTTTATTTCGACATTAAAGATTTGGAGGTACAGTTTGCTGTACAGAAGTTTTCACCCCTCCATAATTTCACCAGATATAGAGTGTGCATCCCTGACATTGAAACTGAAGGCTTTATGGTTTCATCTTCTAAGATAGATTCCCAAAGAGAGTTGGTTCACCTGAGTCCCAGGGGGCTGACAGTGGACAGTTTAAAACATTGATGAATCTTTATTACTATAAAAGGGTTCGATTTAGGCTAGCCAACATGTAGGTCTTTTTATGTCCTAGAACCCAGTGACTTCCCGTCTGTCTGTAATGGCATGAAGGCAGGTGACTGTAGAAGATCCTCTCGCACTAGCGCACACAGAATGTTTTCTTGCACCCGGGCCCTGCCTGGACACCCCTGCCTGATGGCCTGCACCACTGAGCGAAAAAACCTCTCCGTCCCCACCAGGGTGCCTTGAGTCAACTAGTGCTGGCCCCTCACCCCCTTCTACTTACCCCCAACCCCGGAGGCTGTCGACGCAGGGGGGCAGTGTTCTAGAACATAACACACCTGCTTCCGAGGACTAGCACACTCCCAGCAACACGGGGATTTTAGGCCATGCCACACTGTTTGCTACCAGCTTTTTCCTACTTAATTTACATTTCCATGTCATTATTATTCAAAAGCTTAAAAAATACACAAGGTGAAAACTGGAAAGATGGAGAATGTAAACCTCAGAACAGGATATTCTTAACTACCAAAGAATTTTACACATCTATTGTTTTATATTAACTTTTGAGTCAACATTTTAAAATAAATATTTTGAAAACACATACTAAGGCTAATGGAACATAAAATACAGTTTCTTGTCAAATTTAATATATGTTCAGAAAGCCAAGATATAAATAGCAGGCCAAAAACATAAAATTATTTTCATTCTTTTTGTGAAACAATTTTGGGGAGCGTATACTCAAGGAAAAGGTATGTAACATGTCTGTGATGATTTCAAACGCTACCATGACTTCTCCACCTTCAAAGAGGCAGTTAAAACATTTGTAGAGCAGAGAAATCATGCAGAGAGAATGCGTTCTCACTCAAATTTTAACCTAATCTTTAGGTAAAGACGGTCAAAGTTCAAGATTTCTTCAATTTTGGTTGCTGGAACCTATTTGTGCTTATAACTGTGAAGTGCAAAATTTTTTATTGTTTTGACTTTTAATAAAATGATATGGTTTATTATAATTACAATTAAATTATGAATAGGAGTAAACCTTTTCAAGTGATGCTTCAAGCAAAATAAGTACAAGTTAAACAAGGCTTGTTACAAATGATCAAAAATGTTTAAATGTTTCTTCATAGTTAACACTGACCAAAGTTTCTTCAAAAATCAATATTGACAACAGATTTCTAAAAGTAGTTTTTCACACTTTCTCTATGATACAATCGATGGCTTAATCTACCTTAATTTCTTTCTTTAAATAGCCTCACTATTAAGAACCTAGGTTTTAAAAAACTCTCTATCGTATACATCTTTACACACGCTGCAGCGCCAAGACTCCAATGGAATAAGGAAAAAGACTTCACTCCCCTCAGTTATTCATACTATGGACTACTTATCCTTTTGACCTATAAGAAGGAAAAGTCTTGGAGAAATAGATTCCTAACAGACTTAACCAATAAGTCTAGAAGTTCCACAAGACAGCAAGTCATCTATTCCTAAAGAGTTTATCATTGGAATGATCAAATGCACATTCTTTAAGTAAAAAGAGGAGTAAATGGGGAAATAAGTTATGAAAAAGTTGTGATAAATTTAAAATATGGATGCACTGTTACATGTTTATTTAGCGAAGGTGACTTGGAAAAGGAGATTCACATACTTCCACTGTATCCTCCGGGTAAGTTTTCCTTCTCTTCTGTAGACGTCTCCATGTTACAGTCAACTATAAAACATGGCTCATGTTCACTCTGGGCTTCGCCTTCAGAGGAGTTTGATATTTTGGAAGTGGTACCTTTGTTCTGTGTGCTTTTCAGACCAACCGCTTCTTTCATTTCTTCAAGGCTTCCTTCCAAAGGAGTTAAATCATCATCATGTCCTTTTGGAAGAGCAGGGTCCTCAATGGTGTAAGAAAAGCCATTTCCCTCTGGGCATGCGTCTTCTTTCCCAGCCTGTCTACAACACCTTAGGGCTTCTTCAGGGGCAGAAGTCACGCAACTCGAAGTTGCACGGCCTTCACCATTTCCAGTTTTCCGAGGACTGGAGATGGTTTTTGCTGTGAAATTGGTAATGTCAACTGTTCTGGTTTTTTTGCCAACGCAGGAAAAATCAGACATTTCAAATATGCTTGTTCTCTCCTTCTTAGAAAGACTTCTGCAGCTCAACTGAGCAGGGCTTGATGGCAGCTGAGATTCAGGAGGAAGATTCTCTGAATACCTTTCCTTAAGATTATCAGGTGAAAAATAGTCATCATATGAAGACTCCCCACAGCTAAGAGCCTCCAGGGCAGGTCCCGCCACGTGCTGCAGCCTGTCTTCCGACCTGCACAGCTGCAGCCTCGGCATGATAGATCTCCTGGTGCTCCTCTTTCTCTTGCATTTTTCCTTCGGAGGTGAATGGGAGCCATGTGATACTCTTTTTCTCTTTACTGAGGAACTCCTGGGTCTTGAATGTATCAAAAGGTGGCCTTTTGTTGAAGATAAGGTAGGAGACAAACGATACTTCTCTTCAAACGTCTCCTGAGACATACCTGCAGCCTGCTTTTGGTCAGGGGTGACTACTTTACCTGCAATATTTCTTTGCAAGTTTATTTCTTCCTTTGAAAGATTACTCAGAAATTTCTGAGGACTTGATTTATCGAGGTGAGTGAAAGATGGTGATGAATGAATATTATTTGCTTTCAATACAAGTGAAGAAATACACACATCACTTTTAATGTCATTAATGGATCCTTCCAACTTCCTTTCCTGATTTCCACATCCTGAGTTTCCACAAAGATCATCAAAAGATGAGTGTAAGCCACCAGCAAAGTATTCATCTGGAAAACATTAACGGAGAGCTAACTTTTAAAAGTGGTTTAAATTATTCTATATTCAACTTTCAGTTGACCAATAAAACAACTTTTAAAGTACAGCTATTAGTTAAGAAGACTATTAACCACACTTGAGTTCTTCTCATTTCCACTTAAGGGTACATTTTAGGCCAGTATTTTTAACTAGAGAACCTGGGCTTTGATGGGTGTATGGGATAGCAGTGGGGATAGAGAAGAGGTGTAACAAACTTCTAAAAATTTTAGGCAAATTTCCATATGCATGTGCACATTTTCCAAAAGAGCATCCATAGTTTGTCACTAAATTTTCCAGGAGATCAATAATTCTAAAACCTAAGAACTACTGTTGTAAGATCTAGGGAAAGTTCTAGACTTGCATGAAACATTCCCTCAATGAACACAGCTCACCCTTACCTTCCCTGTCTTCCAGTAAAGTCCTCGTATTACACTGATATTCAAAAGTGAGCCATTTGGTAGGCTTTAATGTTTCAACTCTTATATGGATTACTCATTTCCTGAGAGTAATGCTAAGCTGCTGCTACCTCCTAAATATTCTATACTCCTCTGTACCCTCTGGGCCTTCCCCTTTCCTCCACACTTTATTCTGGGTAAATACAATTCATCCTTCCAAACCCACCTGGGTTGTCAACATCCCTGGGACCCTCCCACTGCCCTTGCCAGCTCTCCCTGGCCTTGCCCCCTCTGCTACACACCATCATGCATCATACTGCCCCATGGTTACGTGGGCATCTGCCCGTCACTGTGCTATAAGCTACTGGAATGAATATGAAGAAGTCTCTAGTCCCGTGCTGGCTCCCTCAATAGGGGCTCAGCACTTGCTGGTGGAGGGCCTGTGTTTTGTAGAAATCACTCAATCTGGAGGTCACGTAAGTGTTAGAACTCTCTGTCTGAAATCACTGAAGTTCTACTTTAAAAAGGAAGAACACAGGTAACCACCAAAGCTTCCCTTCCAACTGTGCCCCAGGTGTCTTCAAGGCAGTAGTTGGAAATAAGGTCACTTTTAATTTTAGATGCTCAATATATCTTATTCAGCACCTAAAATTGTTTTATGTTTTATCACACTTTTCAAAAACCCGATAAGCAATGTGACATGTCACTAAGAGTGTAATCTGTGATGTCAGACTGCCTAAGTTAGAAGCTTGGGTTTGCCATTCACAAACCACATGACCTTGGACAAGCTGTTTGACCTCTGTGTCCTGGTTTTTCACTGGCAAAATGGGATGGTGATGGAACCTACCTCTTAAGGCTAATGGGAGAATAAATGAGATAACAGTGAATAAGACACTTAGAGGAGTGCCTACAACAACAAAAATGAAATCAATGTTAGCTATTATTATCACTTGTTTCCAACTTCTAGGAAATAAATGTAACAAGTGTAAAATAAAAAGATGGAGACTGTTTAAGAGAAATGGGTAAATAATTCCAGCACACAGAGGTGAGAGTACAAGGATTAACCCTGCGCTGAAAGGAGGCTTTGTTTGAAACTTCTAATATCTTGATGCCATCTTGCGCTTTGTCATTGCTGTGGCTTTCATGATAAATTTTCCATAACATCTCAAGCACTTTTGAACATAGTACTTTCAGGGATCACTGCTACTTACTTGAGCCCCACTGGGGACTAGGTGAAGAAACTGTAAGAAATTTGGTACGAAGAAGATATGACCATGAAAAATTACCATCCTAAGTGGAACTAGGGCTCCCACATTACAAACATGTATGTGCGTAACATGGAACTAACTGCACTAATTCCTACCAGTGTTCTTTCTGCTTCTAATTAGAAATCCTCTATTTATCTCCTCAATTGACGATCTTTACATACTTCACTGACCCCGTTCAATAACAGGTTCCTTGTGTTAATTATACATTGTGTGAAACAACATTTCCTTAGCTCTGACCTCAGTTCTATGTAGTTTAAACTGCATACAGATTAGTTCATATACGTTCACAATAATTTTTTAAATAGAGCAATGGATTCTGTAGCAAGAAAGCAAATGCCTAGGAAAAAAAACCTATAGGAACCAAAAAGGAAGTTTAACTCATGCCTTAATTTTATTATAATACCTAATTTCAGGGGGAAATTTAGAAGTTCTAGTTTTAACTAATTATTTTACTCATCAGAAGTTGCTACATGAAATTCTAAATCAGAAAATCATATTATTCTCAAAACTTAAACATATCACAGAAAGGAAAATAAAAATTTTACCTGAACACAAAGTATCACGTGAAATGTTCAAAGGTGCTTCACACAGAGAGTTACTTGGATTATCATGAGACTGCTGAATCATTTGGGAAGCTAAAAACAGGACCAAGACACTGCATTAGATAAAGTTTCAGTATTTCTTAGCAGATGAAGCCAGCAGGAAGTCCTCCTATTAATCATAGGTGATTCTATTAAATCCTATAATCACAAAGTTAGAAGGGATCTTAAAGTCAACTTGCCTGAATCTAATCAGAAGCTCAACAGAATTAAGTGAACATTTCCAGTCTGTTCTAGTCTTCTTATTTGATAATCATGGATTTTTCTTCAAGGATGCTCATCATAGTTACCTCTAAAACTAGAGCACTGCTTCCCAACCAGAGGTGACGTTGGGGTCCCAGCAGATATTTGGTAATGTCTGGACACATTTTTGGATATCGCCAGTGAGGGAGAGCAGTAGGTACACTGCTAGTGTTAGTGGGGAGAGGCAGGGATGCTGCTGAGCTTCCTACCACACACAGGGCAGTGCCCCCAACAAAGAATTACCCAGACCCAAATGTCAGCTGTGCTGGGTTGAGAAATCCTAGAGGTTTCATAGAAAACACTTAGGATGTCAATGACTTAACAAATAAGATCGTAAGTATTATCTTCAAAGGCGGTTCATACAATAGTCAAGAAACAAAAGAAATGTTTGGATCTTATATCCAAAGATATTTTTTAGAGACTCAAAAGGATACTTTTCTGAGAAAACTTCAGCAAAAAAAGAGAATAAACCAAGATAAGGAAGGGAAGCACACATAAAATTTTCAGTTAAGTTTTAAACTGTACTGGACGCAGTAAAGTAGCAGAATTAACACTGCCAAGTAATAGAAAAAGTAAAGTTTAAGGCAAATTAGTTTATACACATAATTGCACACTGAAACAATTTGGATGTCCACCTGGGACACAGCTAGTTATCTACCTCAATGTCCATTCTCACTTCTTCTTAACAACAGAACTTTGATTTTATCAGGACAGCAATGCATCCCAGTCAAGACTACATTTCAGTCTTGCTTGCAAAAGGGGTGGCCATATGACCACATTCCAGCCAATGGAATTAGACAGGAATATTGGATAGACGTCTGGTAAGGCTGTCAAAAGGAGATGGCTTAGCTGGGAGGCACACACATTTTGCAAGAAAAGCCAGGCAGGTACAACAGAAAGATGGGAACCTAGTTTCTTAAAGACACCATGGAATGGCATCCCAGCCCTGGCTGCCTACTTCTGAACTAGGCAAGACAGAGAAAGGCAATTCTATCGATTGTAACACATTGGTTTTTGTCTTTGTTATATGCAGCCGAAACTAACCTTAACTGATACATATGGACAAAGGACATAAAATTAAGCGAGGTAATAGTTGATCACATTAAAAGCTGCATTCGGTAAGTCAGTCAGTAATATGAAAAGGCACTTAAACCTGCTTCTAATCAAAAGTAACTTCAAGAACAGATCCAGTTTTTCAAGCTTCCGACTGAAAAAGGCTACAGGCTAATGCCATTCAGTTTTCCAAGTATGGAGAAAGGGGCATTCTTATAAACAACTGGTGACAATAAGATGACTCAAATTTTTTGAAGGATAATTTGACTATATCTATCAATAAGCCAGGGATCGTGGCACACACCTGTATTCCTAGCTACTTGAGAGGGTGAGGCAGAAGTACTTGAGCCCAGGAGTGCATGTCCTGCCTGCGCAACACAGGGAGACTCTATGTCTTTAAAAAATCAAATTCTGCATGTATGAATTAGTATTATTGAAATACACGAAGTACTCAGAAATACAAGGATTCACGTAGGCACATGCAGGGGTTATAACAGTAAAAAGTCGGGGTGGGAAGCTGGAAAGACTTATGTCTAGAGAAAGGAAAATGGCTTAACAAAAAAACAAGAACAACCAAACCATATGGTTAAAAAAAGAATAAAAACTGCAACACAATTTCTAATAACTGGGAAAAAAATACCCACCAATAGATTTTCAATATCAAAACTGTAGACTACTTTGAGCATCTTAAAACAAAAATAGGTCTACAACAACTAAGCTGCAAACAAACCCTCCAGGATACTCTTAAGTAAATAAAGCGGATAATAATACATATGTCATTATCTAATTTAGGTAAAACAGAAATTACACCTCCACACAGAAACCAAACCCGTATCTTTTTCATGTATACACAGATATCTGATACACTGAAACAGATCTGGAAAAACACTTAAACTTAAAATACAGGTTACCCCCAGGTAGAAGAGTACAATTAGATGGGTATCAAGATGAACTTTTACTATTAGCTACTTTGATAAATGTTTTATTAAAATGTGAATTACACTTCAGTAATTAAAAATTTTAAAGATAAAAGAAATAATGAAAAACAAACTGATTCCTTAGATACATTAATCTAAAGCAAATTCCTTCAAAAGACATGATTCACGGCCAGGAGCGGTGGCTCACGCCTGGATTACAGTCCCAGCCGTTTGGGAGGCCGAGGCGGGTGTATCACCTGAGGTTAAGAGTTTAAGACCAGCATGGCCAACATGGTGAAACCCCGTCTCTACTAAAAATACAAAAAAACAAAAAAAAATTAGCCAGGAGTGGTGACAGGCGCCTGTAATCCCAGCTACTCGGGAGGCTGAGGCAGTAGAATCACTTGAACTAGGGAGGTTGCAGTGAGCCCAGATCGCGCCACTGCACTCCAGCCTGGGTGACAAATGCAAAACTCCATCTCAGAAAAAAAAAAAAAGACATGATTCATTTTTTTTTAAAAAAAAAGAAAGAAAAAATTCCAAAGATAATAGAAATTACAAAGGAGCTACAACAAATAGGATTTTAAACTTGAAGAATACTATACACCCAACATATGCTTCAAAAATCTTAATGATGCATAAGATTTTCTGGAAAACAAAGCCAGCCATGAAATAAGTCAAAATGTGTTACTACCAGGAAACATTAAAATATCTAGGCAAAGAAAAAAGAAGCTTTCCACCATAATTGAATCGGCTATTTGCATAATTTTCATTTTACAAACTAATTACTTACAGGTGGGGGAAAGATTTTCCCTTTTCTCCTTCATCTCTTGTAATCTCTTCTCCATTGCGCTGTGGTGCCTACTATTAATTTCAATTGTGGGAGTATATATTAATGAACCATTAGATTCAAATAAGAGAATAGGTACATCATCATCTGAAAATAAACAAAAAATCCACTTTAAGACCAAAAAGTGCCTTCATACTTCAGGAATGTGATTCCTTTTAAAGAACAACCCCCCACACCCCGTTTTCCTTCTTCCCTTTCAACATCATTACCTACTCCTGCTAATATTCTACCTCCACCACCTCCACAGGCAGTGATGTTGCTGCTACAGCTGCTGGCTCACATCTGCTGAGCAACTGCCCTCACCAAGCACTGTGCTAAGAACAATATATGCATTAGTGCATCCAACCTCAAATCCAAACCCAAATCAGTATCCCCACTTGAAGACAAAGACTGAGACACAGAAGTTAAAAGTTGTAAAGCTGGAATGCAATTTAGTTTCTGTTTCTTGTCTCAGGTTTCAGAAACTGCCCCCATGAACCATCACTCCTACCCTCAAACACACTCACAGACCCAGACATGAACTTGACTGCATGAAGTGGGATCAGCATGGTCCCGGAACCATGAAGTTATGAGCTCGTTTTGTGTGGGTGCAGAGTTGTGTTTTTTTCTGGAATGCTACCTTGCATATGCTCAAAGAGCCCTTCAGAACTTTGATACTCACCCCCAACAAAAAAATACCAAGAATCATTTAATATATTCTCCTTTGGGACTCTTAAGCCTGAATCACCCTTACTGTAGTTCTGACAATATACAAATGTACATTAGTTGAATCATTAATACTTTATACATATAGTTTTTAATTACGATACATATTTGGTCTAAGAAGAAAATTTTGTATCTATCATTACCATGTTGCCAAAGTATTTTCAAATACACTGTCACTGACATAGCAAAGAAGGCCAAAGTGACAAAAGTATAAAGAATTATAGGAGAGTGTGCAATATTGCTATGAGGCTAGAAAGAGAGGCCAGATCATAAAGCACCTAGTAAATTGGAGGATATGTTAAATACAGGATTTTATCCTGAATATTTTTCCTTGGGATGACACCAGGAAATTTTAAACCAGGGAGGGGATGTCCTTCTGGTTTAAAGTTTTCACCATTGTGACTGCAGCACAGAGATGAACTGTAAGGAGACAGTGGAGGGCAGCGTAAGGAGTGGCTGCAGTGGTGCAGGAGGGATGATCCAGGCATCAGGGGAGAGAGGAGGGAAGGAGAAAACAGAAGAAGTCAAACAACTATTTCAGAAGCAGGGCCATGGTCTTGATGGGGGTTAGTGTCAGGAAGAAGGAGATGTCAAGGACGATTGCACGTTTCTGGCTTGAGCTTTGACGAAGACGAGACAGCTGGTGTGAAGGAAGGATGGACACGCACCAGGTGAGGCAGCGGGAGGGCTGAGCATGAAACAAATGATGCAGGCCATGTTTCTGGAAAATTATGTGGCAGCACTATGTGGGCTAAGTGTTCTACCCAGTTCTGTCGCATTATCGTCACAGATTTAAAATAAATCTTGGCCGGGCGCGGTGGCTCACGCCTGTAATCCCAGCACTTTGGGAGGCTGAAGCGGGCAGATCACGAGGTCAAGAGTTTGAGATCATCCTGGCCAACATGGTGAAACCCTGTTTCTACTAAAAATACAAAAATCAGCTGGGCGTGGTGGTACGCCCCTATAATCCCAGCTTCTCGGGAGGCTGAGCCAGGAGAATTGCTTGAACCCGGGAGGTGGAGGTTGTAGTGAGCCAAGATCGCACCACTGCACTCCAGCCTGGTGATGGAGAAAGACTCCATCTCAAAAAAATAAATAAAATAAATCTCGACAATTCTATTTGAATAATTTCAAAACACAGAATAGAGAATCTGTGACATAGTAACATAGATTAAAACAAAGAAAACAAAAACTAGAGGAATTAATGCTTCCTAGGAATTTCTAGTGACCATAATTGCTTATCTGTAGCAATGCTGTGTCAGAATTAGTAGGAAATACTGACTTTAGACGACAGTGAAAAAGGCAAAACAGAAATACCAAAAACGTACAAAGCATCTTAATGTTTCATAATATTCTTTTTTTTTTGAGTTGGAGTCTCACTCTGTTGCCCAGGCTGGAGTGCAGTGGTGCAGTCTCGGCTCACTGCAAGCTCTGCCTCCCAGGTTCACCCCATTCTCCTGCCTCAGCCTCCCAAGTAGCTGGGACTACAGGCGCCTGCCACCACTCCCAGCTAATTTTTTTGTATTTTTAGTAGAGACAGGGTTTCAACATGTTAGCCAGGATGGTCTCTATCTCCTGACCTCGTGATCCGCCCGCCTCTGCCTCCCAAAGTGCTGGGATTACAGGCGTGAGCCACTGTGCCCAGCCCATAATATTCTTATATATAAAAATATTATTTAACAATATATATACATAAGAATACATATATTTTTTTCTAAGACATCTTGTTATAGAACATAATATTCTAAAGTATTTTCCCAAATCACTAAAATAATGTATCATCTAAGATTTGCCTATTCAGGGTAACAAAACAAAAATGCCAATTAGGTAAAAATACAAAGTTATATATAAAGAAGAAATAAATAGGTATTTATTTCAATAATGCTTATTAGCCAAAGTTTGCTTTTCTTCTGAAATCATTCCCGAAAATAAAAAGTTCGACCACCTTGATGAATGGTTAAGACTGTGGTCGATTAGCTCAAGCTGCGTGGCTCTATTATGGCTCCCAGCCAAGTCTCCCGCAGGCTCCTGACATTTTGTTTTCTCCTTCATAGAGTAAAGCTATCATAGTCTTCATCAGCTCTCTCATGCTGAACCCCACTAGTCATCATGCAAATTAAACAAGGTGTATGGACACAAATGCAAAGAACTGTATTATATTTCTTAGCTTACCTAGATTTGTTTTTTGCCTTTGTAGCTCTTTAGCCATTTTCTCAAATTTCTTCTGAAATCTCTTATCATTTTCTGGTGTTTTAAAATTAAAATCTTTGGGCTGCATACATTTACGCTGTGCAAAAAGAACACAAAAATTAATGCTGTACTGCAACTGCTTAAGGCAGGAGAAAAAGCCCTTTCGCATACATTTCTGATACCTTTTATAACATCAGTAATAAAAAATTCTAAAAGAGGTGTTTCTTGCACTGTATGTGAACTGGCAATATTTATTTTTTTGTGCAGTTATAAAGAAAATGGACAGAATTTAAAAGACTGTATAAAAGGCTCTGTATTATGCTTTGTGAGACATTTTCATGATCCTAGCATTCTTAGTTTCCATGAAAGTTTTTAGCCAGTCTCTTTCGATTTTTTGCTGTTCTTACCACCAAACCAGCCCAATCTAGTTCAACTTTGTGTATCAAAATGGTGAACTGTTTAATTGCCACGGCCCCTGAAGTTGCAAGTTACGTCACTTGAGCATGCCCAGGTGAACCAAGCATGTAACCACGGGCAGAACCTAAGCACTTAGACCAAGGAACGGGGGCCAAATTAAGGAGTAAACACCTGATGGCATAATCCATGATCCAATCAGATTGAGCCCTGGCATCACCTTGTGACACAACCCAGTCAGATGACACCTCCCAGCATCACCCCATTGCAAGATCCAATCAGATCACACTTTGTTTTCTCTGCCTATGAAACTGCCTGAGCCCCCACCTCAGGGAGGCGGATTTGAGAGTTTCCTCCTGTCTCCTTGCCAGGCAACTTGCAATAAAGCCTTTCTTTTCTCAAAACAAGTGGCATGATCTTGGACTCTATGTGGGTTGGCAGCACGCCCACTGCCTGCTTGGTAGCACTATTCTCACGTCATCCTCCCTGCAAGACCACAACACAGTAATAAAACAATTTCTATTTTATAATTACCAAAGAAAAGAACCATGATTATGCTTGCCCTACCGTCATTAAATCACAGTAACTCCAATCAGCCAGTAAAACCCAAAAACTGTAACTACACTCACAAACACATGAAACCCCAGGCTGATATCCACAGGAAGGTCTTGGGTTAACTCTACTCTTAACCATCCTCAGACAGGGGAAATGTTTCCTTTGAAACACACCTCACGTTCCCAGCCTTACCCACCCCACTTTCTGTTCTTGGAACTGCCCATTGACTTCCCGTCTTTAGCCCAGCCATCAGCACAAATACACATACTGAACTTCACATCGATTTTACCTATAACACTTTTATGCCTGACTTCTTTCTTATAGGACCCCAGGGAAATTTAAGTCATCTGTCTAGGTTCCTTCGTTTTCAGCGCGAAGCTACCAGCCCAAATTTGCTTACATGGGTAGCTAGCTACCCACGTAAACGCTAACTTCTTTTGCTCCAGTCTCATAGAAAGAACTTCTTTTAGCTACTCAAGGCTAATGCCTATACTGGGGATCTTGCTCTGTTAGTTATTCACTCATTTATTGACAAAAAACATGACTTTATGTCAGGCGCTGGTCTTGCAACCTAGAAAGATCCTTGTCATCATGGAGCTTGTATGCTGGTAAGGAATGACAGCAAATAAACATAATAAATAAGTAAATTGTATGTGTCTTGGGAGGTTCATTTCAACAGGCTTGGAACCGGCCTGCACTGCTTTCACTAAAGTACCTGCATGACACAAAATGTACTAATTAGACAGTGGTGCTTTATAGCCACAGGTCCGGGAAGTTTGGGGACAGATTGTGCTGGCCTGTCAACATTGTTTATGAGTAGTGAGATGAAGGATTTGCCTGGAGGCTCTGCCAGTGGGGCTGGTTCATATAGACTCAGGGTCAGCAGTATACAAGAAGACACTCCATCTTGCGCTTCCTGGTTCTCAGGTACGGTGCAGGTTGGACACATTGTTATTTTGGGGTCCTGTGAATCTTCTCTAGCAACTGTATTCCATCAAACTGCCCACATTACTACAGTGTGTTAGGAGGAGCCAGTCAGCACTGCAGATGAAAAGAGACTTGCATAGTTGGCACAAGTGGGAAGGAACTGCTGGTATAAACGGGTGGCAGGATAGGTCTCACAGAGAAAGTAACATCTGCACAAAGCCATAGGGAGGCTGGAAAACGGGTCATGTGTAAGGATTTTGGGGGAAGAATGTTCCAGACAGAGGGAACAGATAACGCAATGGCTCTGAAATAGAAATACGATTGGCATGCTTGAGGAACAGCAAGCTGGGCAGGCAGGCAGCAGACAGGGTGAGGGGGGAGACAGAGGCACAGAACCATCTCAAGGACCCAAAAGAATAAGGCCTTGAGTCGGGTTTAATTTGCAATTACATTTGGAAAAGAGAAGGAAAGGGAAGGTTTTTAGACATGAAAATTAAAGTGGTAAAGTGTACAAGCAATCATTAATGCTTCAGATTAGGAAAAATTAAAAAGATTAGTAACATCCAATATTGGTCAGAGTATCACGAAATAGGTTTTTTTTTTTTTTTTTTTTTTTTTGAGACAGAGCCTTGCTGTCGCCCAGGCTGGAGTGCAGTGGCATGATCTGGGCTCACTGCAACCTCCACCTCCTGGGTTCAAGCAATTCTCCTGCCTCAGCCTCCTGAGTAGCTGGGATTACAGGTGTGCACCACCAGGTTGGGCTAATTTTTGTATTTTTAGTAGAGATGGGGTTTCGCCATGTTGGCCAGGCTGCTCTCAAACTCCTGGCCTCAACTGATTTGCCCGCCTTGGCCTTCTGAAGTGCTGGGATTACAGGTGTGAGCCACTGTATCTGGCCAAGAAATAGGTCATCTTGTATATGATTGGTGGAGCTGGTAAAATCAAAATGTGTATGTATTCTTACCCAGTAATTTTATCTCTAGATATCTGACTTGGAGAAATAAACTCAAATATGTGGCTTAAGTAATATACTTAGCAAAAACTGACAGTGACTAAAAGTACATGAATACCGGAAAAACAGTCACAATGTATAATGCAATACAGAAAACTGAGTAGAGTCAAAGCTACCGACATGAAATGGTCAAAACCATATTGTTAATTGGGGAAGAGAAGGCAACTCACCAAATGATACACATAAGATAGCAGAGCCCCTTCACGTCAAGCATGCATGTGTGAGTGTGTACATGTGTGTAATGTACTGAAGAAATGCCACCTAGGATACTCATCAAATTGAAAGCTGCTTACATTGAGGGAGGGCAATCAAAGAGATGTCTGTGTTTACTAAATGTTTTACAAAGAAAATATGTATGTACTACTGATGTGTTTTTACAATAAACACTTGATTTTAGCATGTCACAGGGAGTCCAGAGACTGCTGAACACTTGTTCACCTATAATCAGGTAAGACTGAAGAAGTTCATCTATCACTGCATGGGCAAACTATGGCTTGTCTGAGATGAAATGTAACGAAGAAATATCATTTACTATTTTCAGGAAATGTGAAATTCACAGTTATTTCTCCTCTAGTCTACAGGAAATGTAGTTCAGTTTGGAGAAAGTCATCAAATCCTCCCTCTAACAGAGAATCTCATGTGAAAACAAGCTGGCTGTGATGTTTCAGAGTAAAGTACCCTCAGATAAAGAAATCACAATTAGAACTTTTACATAAATAGAAAGCCGAAAAGGTTGTGGTTAAAATGTGAATTCTATCTCAAATGAAAGCAATGTCTTTAACTCTACAGTTTGCCCTCTGTATCTGCAAGTTCCAGATCTATGGATTCAACCAGTCGCGATTGGAAATATTCAAAAGAAAAAAAATTTAACACAAATTAAAAAAAAATACAGTGTAACAACTATTTACAAAGCATTCACATTGTATTAGGTATTTTAAATAATCCAGAGATTACTTAAAGTACATGGGAGGAGCCAGGTGCAGTGGCTCACGCCTGTAATCCCAATTGGGAGGTTGAGGCAGGAGAATCACTTGGGGCCAGGAGTTTGAGACTAGCTTGGGCAACATAGAAAGACCCTGTCTCTACAAACAATTCTTTCTTAGGTATACGGGAGGATTTGTGTAGGTTACATGCAAATACTATGGCATTTTATATAAGGGACTTGAGCATCAGTGGATTTTGTTATCTGTGGGGGTCCCGGAACTGATCCTCTGTGGATAATGAAGGACAACTGTATTTGTACAGCAGATTTTCCTAATAAATGACTTTGCACACTTGGATGTAGGTCCATCGGACTTTTGAGATTTATCTGGCTAAACAGAATGCAGGTATTTTGGCTACAGATATAACAAACTTCATTCTGAAGTAATTACCAAAGCACCTAAATGTTTGCTTGTCTCTTGGCACCTTTTAGTCTTCCCATGGCCAACCACAGGCTTTTCCATTTCATACAAATGCTATCGAAGAAGTCATAGGATAAAATAATCTCTGTAATTCACTTAAAAATGCTATGTGAAAAGAACAATATCATCAATAGCATATTTAAGACAACTCTTGAATATATTTCTAGAAGTTTTATTTTCTAGAAATAAAAAATAAAAACGAATAAATTCCTAATTGCCATTATCTACATTGAAATCATGTACTTACTTTTTTTTTAATTAGGCTTGATAAGTGTTCATTCATATTAGCTGCAGGGAACAATGATTCATCAATGTGTGCTCCAGCTGTCCTGCATCTGTATAATTAAATTAAGGTAGTCTAATGAGTATTTGCTTCTATTATACATTGACACAGCACTAAATCTGCACATGTATTAGCAATTTAAGAAATCCATAGCTAGGTCATTTTAACAGACTTTTAAAAAATAAATACAACTGCAAATACAAAAGTCAGTATAAATCAAACTTCCCAAAATCATCTCTATCTGGTATTTAAGTATAACAGAAGCAAGAGGCAGGTAAAGGAAGTACAATTTTTACACAACAATTTTTGACTTGTAGCATACTTCAAAATTATTAGTGCATGGTACTCATAAAGCTAAGGGTAAATGCTATTAAATGGATCATTTAATAGTAAACAGGCCATAAAACAGATAATTCAGAGGTAGAAGGGACGTAAAGAAATTGAAGTCAGAGGACATCTCTTTCCTCCAAAATTGGGTTGTCCTTTTTGTGTTTCTGTCCAGACACCACCATCAGCCCCAAGGCCCAGGTGTGCAACCAATGCTCCGCATTGCCAAGCCTCCTCCTCCTGCCCTGTGGACACACCTGCCATTTCTCCTGTCCACCTTCGTATCTCTGGATTCCTGTGACCCTTATCTCCTTCTTAGCATTCTGTCACTCAAGTCTAAATAATTATGATTTTCTAAATGATCTCCTGCCCTACTATTTGTTTCTCCTCTTCTAATTCACTCATACATTCCTGAAATATTAATCTTAAATTTCTTCCCAACCTAGATAAAAACCTTCTGTCACTCCCATGTTTAGAGCATATTCTCACTCATCTGCTGTTTAAGTGTTTTTATAAGGCCTCTACTCACCTCTCCAACTATCCCTCACAGGCCTATCACCGTTCAACATCTAACACACGAACAGTTATTTGAAAAAATAAAGTACACTGCAATAAAAAACACATATCCATATTGATATAGAAATTTCTACAAAATATATTAGGAATAAAGGAAGTTTCAGAAATATGTGCCTCTGTACGGCACAGTATGGTCTATGCAATGTGGTAAGTGACACTAGGGTAGTGAATGTCATCCTGGCATCCCTGACCCCCTTCTGAGGGTGTGTAAAGTCAATACTATCTTTATAACAACACTAACGTGTGATTTTCCTTTCTCATCTCGCATTATCCCCTCAGTATACAATGCAGTGGAATTTTCCGAAGCAAAACGACATGTGCCACCCCAATACACTGAATGCAGAGGCAGATATGAGAAGGCAACTGTCTTCTATTAAGCCAGGCATCAGAGAAATCTGCAAAAATGTACAAATTTAAAAAAGAACACAGTGCAGTAATTGTAACAAGAGAAGTACAACCAGGCAGAAAAGCAGCAACAGGTTGCATAACGAGTATGGTTCAGAGAAAGCTTCAGGTCAGAGATGATCACCAGACTCAACTCTGACAAGGAGGCAGATGTGGGAGGACACAGATCTTCCATCTGGAAGCAGAGCATAGACTCAAGCACAGTGCAGCAAACAGGGTGACATTGTGGGGAAAACATACACCATTTGTATGACTGAGTGAATGAATGCAACTTAGGAGACTAGCAACAAAAAAAGAATTCATGTGATTCCAAGGGTTGTACTTTCTAAGCTAATGAGCTTGGACCCTGTCCTGTGGGTCTGGGGCATGGGGACAGGTGTGAGGGAGGGGTCGTGGGCAGATCACTGGTCCAGGAGGAGGAGGCCAGTCAGGGAATACTGCAATAACTGTGGCAGGAGACGCTAAAGATTCAGCAAAGGCAGTTGGGGACTAAGATGGGGAGGGGGAATCCTTAACTGAATAATATTTAGACAATAAAAATGGAAGGTTTTTGACCTCTGGTTAAATCTGGTGGACTTAGCACATGCTTTTCTCTTGACCCCCAAAACCCCAATAAAATGATAGTAAAGGAAAACAAAAAGACATAAACCAACAAAAATAAAGAGTAGATAAGAGCTGTCTGGGGAAATGAAATCAAACAAATAAAAAAAAAAAGGGAAACCCAAGCCTGGCAGCTGGGGCGGGGGAGGAGTCCATCTGGAGCTCAGAACCTGGAGCTCAGAACCCCTCAAGGGCAGGAGGCGCAGGTGAAGCCACAGCAGTCTGGGGTGGGGCAGGGGGCAAAGTGCAGAGGGCAGAGGGTGGAAGGCTGAAAAGAGGGAGCGACTCTCCTTCTCTCCTTGCCTGTGCCCACTCACTGCCACCCTGTGTCCAATGGGGGCACTGGGTCCATGTTCACATAAGTGGAGCCTGAGAAGCTCTGGACTCAAAGGACACCAGGCCAAGCTCAGGGAAAACAAAAAGTTTTCCATGAAAGGAAATATATTCATGGTTCACTCTGAGATTCAGCCTAACACACAACTTCCACATTCATAATGATGTAAACATAAACTACCGATTTAACCAAAATGTATCATGTACACTGCAATCAAGAGTGGAAAGAGCCTGCACATGAATGTGTCCATGCAAACAGCAGATGAGTGTATGTGGGAGTGAGGTGCACTCAGAGGGGCGGATTAAAAACGAAATTCTCACTTCCCTATCAGAAAGTCACTAGATAATACCTGAAACTGAAAAACCGAAACAGCAATACGGCCACAGTATTTAGAAATATGGAGGTCACCGAACAGCTTATCTGCAGAAGCAGCCACAAGTGTGAAAGGAGCTGCCTCTGGGGAACAGGAATTGAGGGTGAAAAGGGTCAAGAAAGAGACCATTGTTTTTCATGATAAGCCTTGTAATATTTAGTTCTTCTGTGTGTGTGTGTGTGTGTGTGTGCGTGCGCACGTGTCCATACAATGGAACATGATTCCACCATAAAAAGAAATGAAATTCTAATACAGATGACAACATACTGAACCTTGAAAACATTATGCTAAGAGAAAGAAGCCAGACATGAAGGCCGTATATCATATGATTCCGCTTATTGGAAATGTCCAGAAAAGGAAAATCCACAGAGAAAGAAAGTAGACTACTAGAGGCTGCCTTGGCTGGCGGGAGAATAGGGGATAGGGCTAAGGGGTGCAAGTTTCATTTTGAGGTGACGAAAATGTTTTTAAATTGTGGTGACGGTTGCACAACTCTGTGAATCCAGTTATATGCCGCATAACAACCTTTTGGTCAATGACAGACCACATACACAACAGTGATCACATAAGATTATAATGGAGCTGAAAAATTCCTATCGCCTAGCGACATACTGATGTTCCTAACCCTGTGTAGGCCCAGGCTAATGTGTGTCTTTGTGTCCTAGTTTTTTTTAAGTTTAAAAGTAAAAATTAAAATTAAAACATAGAAAAAGCTGATAAAGATATAAGGTATTTTTATACTGTTGTACAATGTATTTTAAGGCATTACAAAAGAGTAAAAAAATTTAAAAAATTACAAAGTTTATCATGTAAAAAAGCTATAGTAAGGCCAAATAAAAAAAAAATACAGTATAGGCGAGGCGTGGTGGCTCACACCTGTAATCTCAGCACTTTGGGAGGTTGAGGCGGGAGGTCAGTGGTTCAAGGCCATCCAGGCTAACATGGGGAAACCCCGTCTCTACTAAAAATGCAAAAATTAGCCGGGCGTGGTGGTGCGTGCCTGTAATTCCAGCTACTCAGGAGGCTGAGTCAGGAGAATCGCTTGAACCTGGGAGGCAGAGGTTGCAGTGAGCCGAGATCACGCCACTGCACTCCAGTCTGGGCGACAGAGCGACACTCCGTTTCAAAAAAAAAAAAAAACAGTATAATAACTACTTACGAAGTACTCGTATTAGGTATTATACATAACCTAGGTGTTTTTTTTCTTTTCCTCCCACCACAAGTAACAGAGAGATAGATTATTTACTTATGGGAGGAGCCGGGTGCAATAACTCCCATGTGTAATCCCAACATTTTGGGAGGCGGAGGTAGGAGGACTGTTTGAGGTCAGGAGTTGGAGACTAGTGGGGGCAACGTAGCAAGAATGCCGTCTCTACAAAAATAAAAATAAAAATAAATTACCCAGGCATAGTGGCACACGCCTGTAGTCCCAGCTCCTCAGGAAGCTGAGGCAGGAGGATTGCTTGAGCCTAGGAGGTTGAGGCTACAGTGAGCCATAAATGTGCCACTTCACTCCAGCCTGGGAGACAAAGCAAGACCTTGTCTTTAAAAAAACGTTATAGTATCAGTTAATACAGTTGCTCCAAAAAATATACATCCAGTGTAACCTAACTGTATGACGTGTATAAAGTCCATAGTACTGTATAGTAGTAATGTCCTAGGCCTTCACATTCGCTCACCACTCACTCAACGACTCAACCACAGCAACTTCCAGTCTAGCGAGCTCAATTCATAGTAAACGCCCTATGTAGGTGTACCATATTTTATCTTTTATACCATATTTTTACTCTACCTTTTCTATGTTTAAGTATTTCAGAGACACAAATACTTACCACTGTTTCACAACTGCACATGCTGTAGAGGTTTATGCCTAGGAGCAACAGGTTGTGCCACAGAGCCTAGGTGTGCAGTAGCTATGTCATGCAGGTGTGTGTTAATACACACTGTGATGTCTCCACAACAACAAAATCACCTATTCGTTTCTCAGAAGGCATCCCTGTCGTCAAGCAATACCTGACTGTATATTTAAAACCACTGAATTGTATACTTTAATTGGACAAATTGTGTAGCATATGAATTAGATCTTAAAACAATGTTGGGAAAAAAAAAACCATGAAATACCACTACACATCTGCTTGAATGGCTAAAATTCAAAAGATGGATAAATTTCAACTATTGGTGAAGACGTGGAGTGAAAGGAACACTGCTGGTGGGAATATACAGTGCCATAACCACCTTGGAAAAGTTTGGGTAATGACCCAAGAGAAATGAAAGCATACAAAGACACAAATGTAAATGTCCATTGTAACTTTATTCATAATAACCTAAAATGGCAAACTAGCCCAATCTCCATCAACTGGTGGCACCAAGCTACATGCCTACAATAGAATACTACTCAGCTATAAAAGGAAGTGAAACCACTGCTACAAACAACACGGACAGATCGCAAAAACATCACCTTCAGTGATGTCAGGCACAAAATAGTACACGCTGGATGATTCCACTGATCTGAAGCCCCAGAATTGGTGACACTAATCTTTAATGACAGAAACCAGATCTGTGGCTGCCCTGGGGTGGGAGGAGGGGGCAGGGAGGCCGACAGCAAATGGACACGAAGGAGATTTTGGGGTGATGAAAATGCTCTGTATTTTGGTTGTGGTGGTGACACAGGTATACACAAAAAACCCGTGAATGTACACTTAAAATGGGTCCATTTTATTTTATGTAAATGTTTTTATAAAGCTGATTTTAAAAAAACAAACCAACTATCTGAGCCTGCAATAATGGGGTGAGCAGAATGCTGTATCTAATAAAAGTGATGGGAAAGGGAGGCGGGTGGAAGAGAACGAGGAAGGAAATGTTTTTTAACTGTGCTTCTTTTTAAAAAGTCCCCTTAATTACCAATTTTAAGCATGAGAAGTTTTTAGCAGCTTCTTCTTACTCAAGCAAAATGTCACCGATTTACCACTATTATGCCTAAGGGAACAGCAAAAGGGGGGTGGCTGAGATGCATCTGGACGAAAGACGTAGAGGAGACCCTAGATAATCGTGTTATCAAATACACAGTATTAAAATCACCACCATCATCAGGACAAAGGTCACCCAGCTCATGAGAAGCCTCACACCAACCGTGCTGGAAAAGCCACTACCATTGCCTCCTATTGCACAACACAGAAAACCGAGGAGCAGAGAAGATCATTTGCCAAACTTTACAAAACCAGTAAGTATTCTTTAAGTTAGCAGTTTAAGGAAGGGCTTGATTCAACCCAGGAAAACGTGTGCCTGACATAGGTTATACAGTTGTGGAAGATGTGTTCTGTTCCTTTGGGAGAAGCTTCCCAACCACATATCCTTCAGAGTGATAAGATGTAAGGTGCACAGAGATGCTCTCCCTGAATTTCATCTACCTGGGTGTAACTATCATCACTCACTATGAAGAAGTAAGTGGCACTTACTGCTGGTAATGCCGTTCTGCATGCCAACAGCTATGCTTTAGCACACGTGGTAACACATTAAAGCTGCTACACTGAAACCCATGTTTACCAGGGGTCCAACCAAAATCTACTGAACAGACAAAAAAGCTTCCAGTTAGATTTCTATTTTTCTTCAGAAATGTAAAATGATAACATTATCCCACCATCTAGTGGTCAAAACGAAAAGTGTTTCAAGAGATGTCTCTAAACAGAGAACCAACTATTTGACCTGCTGCTGCCTCAGAGCCAACAGAAATCAAAGCAGCAACGTTCTCCTCGGGAAGCCGTGCTGTGATGAGCTTATTCTCCCCAGAGAGCCGATTCACTCCAGCACTTCCCACAGTACACCTGCTAGGTCGGCCAGGAACCACCGACTCTCATTCTACCCTTAGGACGATGCCTTCACCTGGGCCAATCCTGCATTCTTTATGCTACTCTTGTGCCAAACTGCCCAGCACCAGTATCTTATTCTCTAGGCCCAGTCAGTAAGTCAATTCAGGAAAAGTACATTAATCTTTTTTGTAAACGGCACTGTGTTAGTGAGGTAAAAAAGTGAATGGCATCTCCTTGAAGATTCCAGCCGCGAAGCACGCTATCCTTCACGTGTGTCCCTGACACACAAGGAAGAACACAGGAGACTCAGAGAAGTCTGCACAACAGTGCTCTGCCAGCAGAGAGCGAACTTCTGTGGTCTAGCACTAAATAACCGTAGGAAGTTAACTCAGGAGCTACTGGAGGAACCTAGAGCCCAGCAGTTGAGTAATTTGCCCAGTCCTAAATGGCTACACATCCACTGTTACACATTGATGTGATATTAGGAGGACACATCAGACCGTTCCAAACTGAGGGACGTTCCTATCACTGGTCAGTGACCTTAAACAGTGTCAAAGTCACAAAAGCCAGTGAAAGACTAAGGAATGGCTGCAGGGTGAGAAGGCTGAGGAGGCGGGAAGTGGAGCTGGCTGCTGGTAGGATAGGAATGGAGTCTGAGGATTCCGGGAGGAAAGGAGCCGTGGTAAGCCCCTAATGTCGGCCTGTGTTGTGGTTATGCAGGAATATGTCCCTGTTTCCAGCAAACACTAAATGCAGGGGGTGATGGCCTTCGGTCAGCAACCAACTCTCAGCCTAGCAAGGACAAAGCCTGTGAACCGTATTCCCCACCTAGCTGTTAGTTTGCAGTTGTTTAAAAATGATAAATTGTCTTCAACAGAACTTAGAGTGGGGGCCAAGCTGACCTTTATTTCAACTTTATGTATTCTTTCTTCAAGGTAAAAATTTCTACATCCAAAGGAAATGTCAGAATTTTATCAATTGCCATCTGATCTTAAAATGAACACTCCCAGAAGGAACCCAACAGAATGGGATTCTAGTGACACCTAGTGACCTTATGAAGTTAATGTTCACATTTTCAGTGGAAACCATGAGCTACTGCATTGGAAAGGCAGGCAGTTCACCAAGAAAGGACAGACGTGACATAAAAAATGCAGGTCAGTTTGGCTCTTATCTCTATGCTCTGCTGAAGAAAATTCAAGCTCACTAAAAGTCAGAGAAATGCAAATAAAAACTATTATTTTTCTTCTACAAATTAGAAAGAAGAACTGATAACTCACAACATTAGCAAAGGTATTGGGAAACATGCATTTTTTTGATAATTCCAGTGAGAATGGAAACCAGTACACTCCTTCCAGAAGATAATTTGGCAGCATCTATCATATTTAAATATGTAAACTCTCAGAAATGAACAGCCCACTTTGGGGATTTAAACCTATGGAAAGATTTATCACCCGCAAAAAGGTAATACATACAGAAGCTCAATGCTGTAATATTTCTAATTGAAAAAAATAACTAAGAAATGAAAAACTTCAATCACCAATAGGACACTGCTTACATAAATTACTGGACAGCTACTACAAAATATTCTTATATATATAAAGTGGGATGCATCTGCATGTACAGGCAAAAAAATGACCTGTAATAAAAAGTTGACTAAAGTGTATGGGCCGGGCGCAGGGGCTCATGCCAGTAATCCCAGCACTTTGGGAGGCCGAGGCGGGCGGATCACAAGATCAGGAGATGGAGACCATCCTGGCTAACACGGTGAAACCCCGTCTCTACTAAAAATACAAAAAAATTAGCCAGGCGTGGTGGCGGGCGCCTGTAGTCCCAGCTACTCAGGAGGCTGAGGCAGGAGAATGCAGTGAGCCAAGATTGCACCACTGCACTCCAGCCTGGGCGACAGAGCGAGACTCAGTTTCAAAAAAAAAAAAAAAAAGAAAAGAAAAGAAAAATGCCAAAAGATTAAGTTCACTTTTGAGCTTCTGAGGACCTTAAAAGTGTGCTTTTGCCAGGCACGGTGGCTCTTACCTGTAATCCTAGCACTTTGGGAGGCCAAGGTGGGCGGATCACCTGAGGTCAGGAGTTAAACCAGCCTGGCCAACATGGTGAAACCCTGTCTCTCCTAAAAATATAAAAATTGGCCGGGCACAGTGGCTCACGCCTGTAATCCTAGCACTTTGGGAGACCGAGGAGGGCGGATCACAAGGTCAGGAGATCGAGACCATCCTGGCTAACACAGTGAAACCCCGTCTCTACTAAAACCACAAAAAATTAGCCGGGCGTGGTGGCGGGCTCCGGTAGTCCCAGCTACTCGGGAGGCTGAGGCAGGAGAATGGCATGAACCCAGGAGGCGGAGGTTGCAGTAAGCCGAGATCGCACCACTGCACTCCAGCTTGGGCAAGAGAGTGAGACTCAGTCTCCAGAAAAGAAAAAGAAAACTTTGCTTTTGGATAACGAAGTTACAAGTATTATGGGGTCTGCATGAGCCCCTTGAGAAAGGCTGGGGTTAGTGGTGGGCAGAAATAGAGAGAGAGAGAAAGGGGATAGAGAATGAGTCAGGGGCTGGGCCAGCAAAGCAGAGTAAGAATCCCTAACTCTCAGCAGAACACACTACCAGTGACCATCCCCATTGTAGGGTTAGCTGAGAGGCCCTATTAGGTACAGAAATGGCTACTATTTTAATTTTGTCCATGCATCTCCATTTACTTCAAGCTTCTAGTAAAGGTCTCTGTTTCTGCACTCTCCCCTCCACATTTCTATACGACTTTTAAAATGTAGTTTTTTTTCAAATCATTTTCCCCCATGATATTTTCTCTAGTATCTCTACGCCACTTAACTAAATTTTCCTTTGTTCATAATTTGTTAGAACAAATATTTACTGAGCATCTACTATGAGCCAGATGAATGTTAGACTTACTAGAAACACAACCATAAATAAGACAGACAGGTAGCTGCTCTTGGAATCCACATTACAATAGAAAGACAAAATGCATGATTAGATACACAGACAGATAAAGCAGTCAAATGAACAAAATAAGTTTTAATAGTACACACAGGAAAAAAGGAGCTGAGACAGAGAATAACAAATAGGGCTTGAACTGTGAACTGGGGACAGAGGAAGCTCTTCTGATAAAGCGACCTTGCAATGCAACATGTATAAAGGAGCTGACTACAAAACTGGGTTTAGAATCAGGAAGACGGGGCAGAGTTCTCAGCACAGGCCAAGAACTAAAGGCAGAAAGAGTGTAGCCTTGGGGACGTGGAAGCCCAGAGCATTTGGAAGACGCAAACAAGGGAGAGGGGAGCAGCTGACAATGGAAGGGAAGGGGACCATCATGCAGCACACTGGACCTGGGTCAGCAAACTTCTGTAAAGGGGAAAGTAGTGAATGCCTTAGGCTTCGTGGGCCGTAAGGTCTCTGCCACAGGATCCAAATCTACAGCTGTAGTACAGAGGCAGCCACTGACTACATCGTCAGATGAACATGCCTGTGTTCCAATAAAACGGTATTTATGGATACTAAAATTGAATTTCATATAATGTAAATATCATGAAATAGTAAACATTTGAATTTTTTTTTTCTCTTAACCATTCTTACCTCATGGGCCATTAAAAAAAAATAAACAGTATGGCAGGGTGGATTTGGCTGGGGGATGATAGTTGGCCATTCTCTGCTATAGACCACTGAACTCTAAGCCATTTTGTCAGAAGGATAAAGCTGATCCATGTGTTGAAGTATTACAGGTAGTTAGGCATAAGCCCGGCAGGAGAGGCCTCTACCACCCACTAGGAATGTTGGGTGATAGCTCAACAATTATCACATTGCCTCTCTAAAAGTGATAAATTGGCAGCCAGAGCCAGGGAGAGGCCATTTCCTGACAGTCCACACCTGTTGTGCTAAAGTGTTAACTGAATGCAGACGCCAGGGAGAGGCCATTTCCCGGGCATGCACATTAAGAGACAAAATGGCGGAGAAACGGGAAGAAAGCTTCAGATGGGCACCCACACAACTTCCTAAACAAGCTGCCTGTGCTCAATTCCCGCACTGTGCATGCGGGCAGCCCACCCTAAGGGAAGAACTGCGGAAAAGGGCGAGCCTACAAATCCCAGGATCAAGGTTAAACATCAAATTAGACCTCCATGCCCGCCTGGGACTCTTCCCAGTGTACTTTCCTTTCTTTCTGTTCTGACGCCTTTTAAATAAACTTCTGCTCCTGCTCTGACCCTTGCGTCAGTCTCTTCTTTTGCCTTATGCTCCTCCGTGGAATTCTTTCTTTTGAGGAAGCAAGAACTGAAGTTGCTGCAAACCCATACGTGTTTGCTGCCGGTAACTTGGATACCTTCCACTGGTAACAAAAGGGGTTACATTTGCTTATGTATAAGAAACAAAATGAAACAGACAGGCATGAGGCTGCTACAGTAACTGAAGCAAGACATGATACTTGTCTCGACTGTAACAGCAGAGATAAAGATCTATGAGAGATCGATTTTGAGATAAAAATCAATAAGCCATTTCAATGGACTCCATAAGAAGATGAGGTAGAGAAAACAATGATGGCTGGCTGATACTGAGTCTTACCCCATTCCCTCCCCGAAAAAAAAGCAGAAAATAAAAAAGAAACTTAAATAAAAGACACATATGACCTACATTCTCACTGACACGGAGATAACAGCGCAAATTCAGATGACCTATAAGTAGAAAAATAATCAAATTCCAACACAGCTGCAAGTCTATGGATGCAGAAAGTCGGGGAGAATACGCTTAAGACTCCATAAAAAGTAGTACAGCCTGGAGAACTTACATGAAGCACAGGTAAAAGAAGTCTCAGAAAGAGGACACCCAGCACAACTGCCACAACAGAGAACCCACACAGCTCACAGCACCCACTCCAGGGAAGGGGTCTGAATGGGAGCAAGACTAGGACAGGCAGGCTCTGAAAAACATCAGTTCTGGGGGGAGTGGCAGCCCTTGAACCAATGGCAGTGAAAAAAAGAAGAAACTAAGAGAAAAACATTTAAGGATCCTATAGAAACAAAACGCAAACGAGATACACGAGCCCCTCCCTCCTCCCTCCCTCACCAGCATCACCTATAAAAGAAACTATGCAAGACAGCAGAACTGACAGAAGAGGACGCTCTGGCCACAAGCCTGGCCTATGCAATGAATGGAAATAGAATAGACTACATCCATTTTAAAAATCTATTTTAAAAAAACAAAGAAAAAGCAAATCATTTCAGCTGAGGAAAACCCATCACACTCCCTAAAATAAAAGCAAACACAAAACTGAAGAATATAACAAAACCCTTGAACTTGAATCAAATATTATCAGCTGGGTGCAGTGGCTCACACCAGTAATCCCAGCACTTTGAGAGGCTGGAGTGAGTGGATCACTTGAGCCCAGCCTGGCCTACATAGTAAGATCCCATCTCTATAAAAAAAATTCTTTAATGCCGGGTTGCACTTTGGGAGGCCAAGGCAGGTGGATCACAAGGTCAGGAGATCAAGACCATCCTGGCTAACACGGTAAAATCCCATCTCTACTAAAAATACAAAAAAAAAAAAAAAATTAGCCAGGTGTGGTGGTGGGCGCCTGTAGTCCCAGCTACTCGGGAGGCTGAGGCAGGAGAATGGCATGAACCTGGGAGGCAGAGCTTACAGTGAGCCGAGATTGCGCCACTGCACTAGGCCACAGAGCAAGACTCCATCTCAAAAAGAAAAAAGAAAAAAAAAATTTTTTAATGGCTGGGCATGGTGGCACATGCCTACAGTCCCAGCCACTAGGGAGGGCTGGGGTGAGAGGACTGATTGAGCCTTAGAGGTCAAGGCTGCAGTAAGCTGCAACTGAGTCATTGCATTCCAGCCTCGGCAACAGAGCAAGACCCTGTCTTCAAAAAACAAAAACAAATACTGTCAAATAAGTATTTGGGGTAAAAATGCGTGTGTGTGTGTGTGTGTGTGTGTGTGTGTGTGTGTCTGTGTGTGTGTGTGTGTGTGTGTATGTGTATATAAATATAAAAGGGTTGAAGTCAAGTTGACTGAAATAAAAGATAGCTAAGCAGGCCCAACGTAAACATAATTGGAGTCCCAGAAGAAAAGCAAAACAACGAAGCAGAATATTTAAAACTATAATCCCAGAAACTTTTGCAGAAATATAGACCTGAATCTGTTGAAAAGGCCAAGCCAGAACTGGAATGATCAATTCAAAACATATTACAGTAAAGCCATGAGTCTTAAAAAAAAAATCCTGGCCGGGCGCTGTGGCTCACGCCTACAATCCCAGTACTTTGGGAGGCTGAGGCAGGCAGATCACGAGGTCAGAAGATCAGGATCATCCTGGCCAACATGGTGAAACCCCGTGTCCACTAAAAATACAAAAATTAGCTGGGCGTGGTGGCACGTGCCTGTGATCCCAGCTACTCGGGAGGCTGAGGCAGGAGAATCGCTGAACCAGGGAGTAGGAGGTTGCAGTGAGCACAGATCGCGCCACTGCACTCCAGCCTGGCGACAGAGCGAGACTCCGTCTCAAAAAAAAAATGATAAAATAAAAAATATCCCTAAGGAGTCTCCAAAAAGATCAAATAATGTTGAAGGGAAGAAGAATTAGACTGGCATCAGATGCTTCAAAAATAACATACTAAGTTCCATTTCTGTTTATGCCTAACAAACCAATATACAAATATAGGTGAACTATAAGCTATACGTCCTGGAAATACAGGAAAAATAAAATAAAATAAACCAACTATGTGAGAGCTTTGAAAGCTGGAGGGAAATAAAAGAAAAAGAAAGAACAGGCAAATTTTAAAAGGAAGCAAAAGAATCTGGGCATCACCACTTTTTCTGTCTGTCCCCTAAAGGCAGCCACAGTCTCTGAGGGAGCTGGTGTGGCGCAGCAAGCACTCAAGCAGAAGCTCCGGCCTCCTTTCTCGCTGAAGAGACCAGGGGAAGGAGACTGGGCAGCTAGGGCTACTAGAGAAATGAGGTAAGGACTCAGGAAGTAAGAGAACCATAGGAGAAACCCCAAATTCTGAGTATAGAAGTTCAAGTCTCTGGCTGACCCCTGAACAACATGTGTTTGAGGCAAACAAATCAGCCTGCACCTGAGGCTTAAAGGGCGCATCTAAGCAACTGCCCACATAATGACAGTGTGCGTTTCATTTTAACGACAAGTTAACTGCTTGCTAAAACAAAAACCTCATGCTCTTTGCGACAATAGAAAAGAATCCAGAGTCTACATAGTATTTACAACGTGCAAAATACAACCTCAAATTATTTGCCATATGAAGAGCCAGAAAAATGTGACACACTATCAAAGAAAAACAAAAACAAAACAGATACCAACCTCAAAATTATCAGACAAGGTCATTAAGACAACTATTTATAACTACACTCATCGAGGTAATAGAAAATACACTCATAACCGAAGACAGGAAAACCAAAGGTGAGAAATCTCACATGAAACCGAAATAAAAAGAATGTATACAAAAACCAACTAGAAATGTTAGAAATCAAAAATATCTCAAATAAAGGTACTAAGTAGCAGAATGGATTTGATGGAGAAAAAAGTCAATGAACTTGAAAAAAGATCAATCTGAGGAGAAAAAAAAAGACTGAACAATAATGAAGAAGAAGGAGAGCACTATGGACAAATGCAAACGTTTAAAAGGTGTATTACACAGAAAGGATTGGGAAACTACCTGGCTTCCTGCCAGACTTATAAGTAAAGTTTGCTGCCACACAGACACAAGCATTTGTTTACTTATTTTCTATTACGCCTTTCACACCACAAGAGAGCTGAGCTGTTGAGCAGAGACCATATGGCCCGCAAAGCCTAAAATATTGACTATCTGTCCCTTTACAGAAAACTTTACCAATCCCTGGTATACAGCTAATTAGAAAAAGATATACAGCTAATCAGAAAAAATGAGGAGGAAACGGGGCAGAAAAGATAGATGAAGAAATAATGGCCAAAAACGAATCATATGTAGAAACACAGGCAACTACACATTCAACAAGTTCTGTAAAATCTAAACAAAATAAATTTTAAAAAACCATATCGAGACACTTAAATTTCTGAAAGTGAAAGATAATGAGAAAATCTTGACAAAAGCCAGAGAAGGACCCCTTACTCTTTTTTTTTTTTCCCCGCTCTTGTCGCCCAGGCTAAAGTGCAATGGCGTGGTCTTGGTTCACTGCAACCTCCGTCTCCCAGGTTCAAGTGATTCTCCTGTCTCAATCTCCCGAGTAGCTGGGACTATAGGCACACGCCAACATGACTGGCTAATTTTTGTATTTTTAATAGAGATAGGGTTTTACCATATTGATCAGGCTGGTCTCAAACTCCTAATCTCAGGTGATCCACCCCCCTCGGCCTCCCAAAGTGCTGGAATTACAGGTGTGAGCCACCGCATCCGGCCTGTTCCAACAATTAAAAAGGCAAGATGACAACGTATACAACATGACCAAGTAGGATTTATCCTAGGACTGCAAGGTTGCTTCAACACACAAAACCCCTCAATTACACCACATTAATATAATGAAGGACAAAAATCACATGATGATCAGTCATGCAGAAAAACATCTGACAACCATATCTAACTTCCTTTAATAATCAGAAACAAACAAACAACCTGCAACAGAAGGGAATGGGAACGTCCTCAGCCTAAAAAAGGACATTTACACAAACCACAGTTACCATCATACGAAATAATGAAATACTGAAAGCTTTTCTCCAAAGATGAGCAACAACACAAGGACGTCCATTCTCACCACTTCTATTCAACAGTGTGCTGGAGGTTCTGGCCAGAACAAATAACATGACATGACATGACATGACATGACATGACATGACATAACATGCGGCCAGACTAGAAATGAAGAAGTAAATCTATCTCTATTTACAAAATTACACAACATTGCATATAGAAAATGCTAAGGAACCCACAAATATATTTAGAACTAATAAACAAGTTAAGCAAATTTGCAGGGTATAAGATCAACATACAACAATCACCTGCATTTCTATACACTAACAGCTAACAACTTAAAAAAATTAAGAAAACAATTTCATTCACATGAAAATGAACAAAAAAGTTAGGAATAAATTTAACCTAGGGGGTAAAAAACTTGTACACTGAAAACTAGAAAGTGTCACTGAAGGAAATTTGAGACCTGAAAAAGAAACACATCCCATTTTCATGGACTGAAAGATTAAATATTATGAACACTTCCCTAATTAGAGATTCAATACAATCCTACCAAATCCCAGCTGCCTTTTTTGTTTTTGAATAAATTGACACACTGATCATAAAATTCATATAGAAATGCAAGGAACCCAATCAAGACAGCCAAACAATCTTAGCAAGGAACTCAAATCAAAATAGCCAAACAATCTTGAAAATGAAAAACAAGTTACAGGACTCGTACTTCCCAATTTCAAAACTTACTACAAATTTACTGTAATCAAAACTGTGTGGGCCGCGCACGGTGGCTCACACCTGTAATCCTAGCACTTTGGGAGGCCGAGGCAGGTGGATCACCTGAGGTCAGAAGTTTGAAACCAGCCTGGCCAACATGATAAAACCCCGTCTCTACCAAAAATGCAAAAATTAGCCAGGCATGGTGGTGCGTGCCTGTAATCCCAGCTACTCGGGAGGCAGAAGCAGGAGAATCACTTGAGCCCAGGAGGCAAAGGTTGAGATGAATCCCAGCTACTTGGGAGGCTGAGGCATAAGAATCACTTGAGCCTAGGAGGCTGAGGCTGCAGTGACCCAAGATCCAGCTACTGCACTCTAGCTTGGATGACAGAGCAAGACTTTGTCTCAAAAAAAAAAGAAGATACCAACCCTGTTGACAACTTGATACTGGACTTCCTGCCTCCAGAGTTGTGAGAAAGTCCTTTTCTGTTGCTCAAGCGACCCATTCTGTGGTCCTTTGTTACAGCAGCGCTTGCTGACTAACACAATCTGCTTCATCACATTCCCTCTTGCTTCCTAAGTCCACCTTGCATACCCAGCTTCAGGACCTGCAGGCTCCTTTTCCCCCTAGGCAGAGTTAGGTATTATAGCATGACCATTTTTGAACCACAGAAATTGAGGCTGGAGGATTTCAAATTACTAGGTGAGGTAAGAGGCAGAGAAAAGATGAAAATCAAACTTTATCTGGTTCTGCGATCTGTGAAAAATATCTCCACACATTTTCAATACTAGATACTTAAGGAAAAAAAGTAAGAGAGAAACTGCTTACTTTTCCACCCAGAGCACCGAAACGAGCTTTACGCCTCTCTTCTGAGCTTTGTCCCAAGTGCTCTGGTAGCCATCTTTGAAGATAACGTGAGTTACTTGTTTGTTAAAAGTTTTTGAAACCTGTAGACAAAATGCAGAAAACAAAATGTACATTACTGTTCATTCACAACTTAACTACAACTGATCAAAAAACCTCTACCCCAGCAATTCTGTTTCTCAACATCTGACAGAGAAACACTCAAAGGAATGCATAACGCTGCTTAAAACATATCTGTTCCAGTTACAACGGTGAATCATACACACAAGTTCACATCTACTCCCTCTAAAAACCCTCTGAAGTGTTACTGAAAGAATAGAGTTGGAGCCCTGCAAGGATAAAGAGGACAGAAGAGAAAATGTGGCCATGAGAAGGCACCACATTTTTAAAGATGGAAAGAGTCAGATAATAATGGACATTTCAGAAAAGCTTTCTACATCAAAAAAATAAAACCAAATGAAATTCAGAGGCAACAGAGAAAACAGAACACATATTTAACCAAAATTAAAAATACCTCATATCTTAAGATACTGTATCCATGGCTGGGCATGGTGGCTCATGCCTGTAATCCCAGCACTTTGGGAGGCCGAGGCAGGTGGATCACCTGAGGTCAGCAGTTTGAGACCAGCCTAGCCAACCTGGTGAAACCTTGTCTCTACTAAAAATACAAAAATTATCCGGGTGCAAGGTGGCGGACGCCTGTAATCTTAAATGCATAAATACAAAGTAAGAAGGTTGAAAATAAGTGCAATCATTCAAAAAGTTGGAAAAATTCAGCTAATTAAAACCAAAGGAAACTGGGTGTGGTGGTTCACACCTGTAATCCCAGAACTTTGGGAGGCCGAGGCAGGTGGATCATGAGGTCAGAAATTTAAGACTAGCCTGGCCAACATGGAAAAACCCTGTCTCTACTAAAAATACAAAAATTAGCCAAGCGTGGAGGTTCGTGCCTGTAGTCTCAGCAACTCGGGAGGCTGAGGCAGGAGAATCACTTCAACCCGGGAGGTGGCGGTTACAGTGAGCCAAGATTGTGCCATTGCACTCCAGCCTGGGTAACACAGCAAGACTCCATCTCCAAAAAAAAAAAAAAAAAAGATACTGTATTCACGCAACATGATCAGAAGATTATTTTTTAATAGGATCCTAAAGAGCTCTTGGAAATTAAGAAAAGATGACATAAGTAAAAAAATTTTCTACAGAAATATCAGACAATGAAGTTGAGTAAAGCTCACTGGTAGTAGAAGAGAAGAACCAGAAGACGGACAACAGGAGACAAAAGGCAAGAACATCAGAAGCTCAGACCAGGAGATCCAACAGCCAATCAACAGAAGTTAAAGAATACAGGAATACACAAAATGGAGAAAATATTATTAAAGAAATAATCAAAGAAAAGTTTCTCAAACTAAAGGATATGCATTCTAGATCAAAAGAATCCCCCACAAAGGCCCAGCACAAGAACGAAAACAGCACTACACCAAGCTTATCACAGAATTCCAGCATGGTTGGCGAAAGGGAAAAATATTAAAAGAGTGGGTAATCAAGGTGAAGAGGATAGAGACACATCACATGCAAACAATAAGTGACAACTGAATCAGTCTTATCAACAGCAGTCTGGAATTGAGAAAACAATGGGAAATACCTTCAAGGAAAAATAATATTTGTGCTAGCATTTTACACTCAGCTAAAATATTAGTCAAAGGTAACAGTATAATAAAGGCATGCTCAGACACTCATGGTGTCAAAAATTTTACCTTTTATGTATCCTTTCCAGAAGCAGAACTCATCTGCATAATTTTTATAGCATTCAATTATACTGAAGTAATATATGTACAATGCTTGGAAATATGAAGGTAAATACCAAAAGAAACAGATGATTTGAAAGTAGCTGTCTTTGAAAAATGGAAAAGGAAATGTACTGCAAAGCGTTGCTGGTTTCTCTTTCTTTTCATTGTGAATTTCATGGCACTGCCCGTTAGTCTTTTTAAACAATAAATATGTATTACTTTTATAACTCTCTCTCTCTCTCAATTTCCACACCCCCATCAAGTCCATGGGAGCTATCAAGGCAATTAAGAATTACCGGGCTGAGATTCTAGATTAAGACTGACACCTAGAGAGATGAGTCTAGCATTTGAGACCATCTTCCCACAAGGCTTTTATCAAATTTAGTACACACTAAACAGGACGAAAATTGAGAAGCCTCAAAGAGACAAGGGGGTCTGGTAAAACCCCTACACCTTGCGCTGAGACCCAAAGAGCTGCATCTAGATTAAGGGTGAATCAGAAGTTATAATGACCCTCACAGGCCTGTAGTCTGGTTTTAAATCATCTCAAATCCTGAAATTGGCTTAAGATAATCCCGGATTACGAGTACTACAAATATCCAAATCTTACGATGTTAACGACTATTGATCTGTATTCACTATTCTTTGAACTGTTTGCCAATTTTTGAAATAAAAGGTGAAACCAAAAAGTTCTAAAAGATCTAAGATCTTAATGCTACCCTCAAACCACCTTGTCAACTCACTTGTCTAACGGCTTTTTTCTTATTCACAGTAGTTCCTCCTCATCCCAAGTAAATGTTAGGCATGTGCAACATGCAGACTCCCTCGGGTTCCTACATTCCAGTGTATTACAGTGGGCATGTCTCCCCTCCTGCAGTGCAGGCCCTGCTCCTATATTCGGATTCCTCTCCACTGACCTCTTACTCAAGACAGGCATTAGGGAGGTCAAACAAGGCTCTTAGGGTATTCAGTAGCACCCACTCTTTGCCTGGTGGTGAGCGCCTCTTAAGTTTTATACCCACAGCAGCTCTCTTGCTCCACCCTAACCTAGCCCTGCCTTCGATTATCTTTTCTCCCATTTTTAATGGTTCTCTTTCACTCAGCCTATCAGTCAGCCCCTCCCAAATGCCAGACAAGGACATAAACAGGATTTGTTCATAACTAAACTCCCTATAAGAGCACATTAGTTCCCCCTTATCCACGGGGGTTAAGTTCTAAGACATGCCCGCGTCCCGCCCCCAACCCCTCCCAGTGGATGCCTGAATCCTGAGCTAGTACTGAACAGGTTATATACTGTTTTTTCCTATACATACATATACAATGAAGTTTTATTTACAAATTAGGCACAGATTAACAATAATGATAACAAAATAGGGTAATTGTAGCAATGTATTATAATAAAAATCACGCACTGTGGCTGTAACTGTTGCAGTTTGGTGTGACTGCAACAGTAGCATAGTTCTTCACAATTTCAAGATTAGAAGATTTGTTCTCACTGTCGATCTTAGCAACTTCAACACACAATTTTCTTCCTTTCCTTAAAGTGGAGAACTTTCACCTTTTCACTTAAAGCACCTTAAGGCTTCTCTGGCATATCTGAATTGCCAGCATCATCACTCTTGCACTTTACGGCTGAAAATTAGTTCTGCCAAATTTAACCTGCCTTGCTTGCTTTTGGTCACTTGCTTTTTGTTATTTATTTATTTATTTCTATATAGCTGCAAGTCATACTACTAAATGCTATAACCTTCACTGGCTTCCTTATAAGATAAAAACTTCTGGTGGATATGTCACCACGGTAACAGTTGCTTAAGTTACTTTTCAGGAACTTGGGGCAGCACCCGTACAGTTCAAACAGGCTGCAACCACCAACTCTTCAACCAGGCCTGTGTAAATGCCCAAGAAATGACCTTTTGACATCAGGCCAAAATCTTCACCATCGGATCCTACTAGTGCCTATTTTTTTGGTTTTTGGAGACAGAATCTTACTCCGTCGCCCAGGCTGGAGTGCAGTGGTGCAATCTCGGCTCAATGCAACCTCCGCCTCCCAGGTTCAAACGATTCTCCTGCCTCAGCCTCCCGAATCACTGAGACTACAGGTGTGTGCCACCACACCTGGCTTTTTTTTGTATTTTTAGTAGAGATGGGGTTTCACTATGTTGGCCAGGCTGGTCTCGAACTCCTGACCTCAGGTGATCCGCCTGCCTTGGCCTCCTAATAATGCCTGTTTTCTAAACATGCATTCCATGAATCCCAACTATGCTTGTGCAGATCATGTACTTCATTTTTCCCCACAGCTTAGATCACCCTACTTCCCTAACTGATAAATATCCCTAAGCCTTATCTTTGGGAATGAAGATGTGAGTACTCTTCTGCCTCCTAGCTGGGCTTCCCCGTGAATGAATCTTTTCCCTTTTGTAAAACCCGTCATCAAAGTGATCGGTTTAGTGTGCGTGGGCAAAAGATACCTATTTGGTATCAAGGACATTATTAAGTCAAATAGAGGCTACCTGAACACAAGCAGTACGTGATAGTAAATCTGATAACAGAGATGGCTATACTAAGAAACCTTGAATAAGGCAAATTGTTTGCTATCTCCATTTCCTCATAGCTCAATGATTCCTGCCCATTTCACTGAAAACTGCACTAAGTTCAGCAATGACCTTACAGTGTTCAAATCCAAAGTACATTTGCCCATCCTATTTTTCTTGAACTTTCTGTAGTTTTTAAAAATTCTATCTTTAAAATTACTCCATTCTAGTTCTGAAAGGCAATTAAAAAATTACTCCTGGCCGGGCTCGGTGGCTCATGCCTGTAATCCCAGCACTTTGGGAGGCCGAGGTGGGCGGATCACGAGATCAGGAGATTGAGACCATCCTGGCCAACATGGTGAAACCCCGTCTTTACTAAAAATACAAAAAAAAAAATTAGCTAGGCATGGTGGCATGTGCCTGTAGTCCCAGATACTTGGAAGGCTGAGGCAGGACAATCGCTTGAACCCAGAAGGCAGAGATTGCAGTGAGCTGAGATCGCGTCACTGCACTCCAGCCTAGCGACAGAGCGAGACTCCGTCTCAAAAAAAAAAAATTACTCCCTACTTTGACTTCCACACTTCCTTTCTCCTTCTCCTGGCATTCTTCTCTCCCTCTGTCACTGGGTCCCTGCTCCCATCGCCTGTCCTTGAATACTGAACAACGCTCCTCTGTCACCACTCTTCATCCTAACCATGCCTGACATGGGACGATGTCCACACCTGTGACTTCACATGACCCCTATGGTCCTGACCCCCTAGATCATCATCTCTAGCCTTGAACACTCCAAGCTCCAGACTTGTATATCCAAATATCTAACAGATATTTTTCAGTATGCCCAAATTTACAATTTTTCCCTTAGAAACCTGTTCCTTTTCCTGTATTCCTCACTTTGCTTAATAGCACTATGCATTCAAGTAACCAGTGTAAGAATCCAGCATTTCATCCTAGGTTCCTCCTCCTCACTCAATGCCCACAGGCATTGAGTTCTGAAAGTCCTACTGTTCTAAATTCTTCACACTTTGGCTCTTTTTTCTCCCACCGCTTACCCATTGCTTCGTCCAGATTCTAAGTAAAAACTCCCAAAATAAGAAAATGCAAATGTAACTTTTTACCAATCAGAAGACTGTCATATGAATCAACAGCAAAATAAGTGTCTTACCTTTGCCCCCATATCCACAAGCTGTGTTGTAAATGTCTTTGAATAATTTTCTGTTCCATTGGATGACCACACTTCAACATAGGCCACTACATCTGAAAACAAGATATGAACATGAAACATACATTTGAAATTCCAGCATCCCCTGCCCAATAGATTTTGTTCTATTTACATTTAAGAGTAAACCGAGGCCGGCACAGTGGCTCACGCCTGTAATCCCAGCACTGTGGGAGGCGGAAGTGGGTGGATCCACGAAGTCAGGGGTTTGAGACCAGCCGGGCCAACATGGTGAAAAACCATCTCTACTAAAAGATACAAAAAATTAGCCGAGCATGGTGGCGGGCACCTGTAATCCCAGCTACTGGGAGGCTGAGGCAGGAGAATCACTTGAACCCGGGAGGCAGAGGTTGCAGTGAGCCGAGATTGCGCCATTGCACTCCAGCCTGGGTGACAGGGCGAGACCCGTTTCAAAAAAAAAAAAAGAAAAAAGTAAAACAAAAATTTACTCTACTGGCCAGGTGTGGTGGCTCATGCTGTAATTGCAGCACTCTGGAAGGCCAAGGCAGTGGGATCACTTGGGCACAGAAGTTTGAGACCAGCCTGGGCAACATAGTGAAACCCTGTCTCTAAAAAAAATTTTGTTTTTAATTAGCCAGGAATGGTGGCGAGTGGCTGTAGTCCCAGCTACTGGGTGGGAAATGGGGGTGGGTAGGGTGGAGAAGCTGAGGTGGGAGAATCCCTAGAGCCCAGGAGGTAGAAGCTGAGTTATGATCGCACCATTGCACTCCAGCCTGGGCAGCAGAGAAAGACCTTGCCTCAAAAATAAGAAAAGTAAATGAAGTTTCTTCTACTGGCTGAACAAAGTAGCTCATGCCTGTAATCCCAGCATTTTGCAAGGTGGAGGCGGGAGGATTGCTTGAGGCTAGGAATTCAAGACCAGCCTAGGCAACATAGTGAGACCCTGGCTCTACAAAAAAATAATAAATTAAAAAATAAAAATAAAAATAACCGGGCGTGGTAGTGCCTGTAGTCCCAAGTTACTCAGGAGGCTGAAGCAGAATTGCTTGAGCTATTATGTGATCACATCACTGCGCTCCAGCCTGGGCAAGAGAGTAAGACTCTGTCTCATAAATAAATTTCTACTGAAAGCCTTTTCAAAATAGCTTCAGTGGAATTTATTAAAATTTTAAGCAAAGAACAACTGTACCCATACAATACATGAGAGTTTACATTTGTAAAATTAGTTGCTTTCCCCAAATTCTTACGCTTAATTTTTCCAGTGCAGAAACCTATTTTCTGTAAAGAGACAGATGGTAAATATTTCAGGCTTTGTGGCCAATACAGTATTTGCCACAACTACTCAACTTCACGGTTGTGGCACAAACATAACCATAGGTAATATATTAACGGGCCGGCCTGTGTTCCAATAAAACTTTATTTATGGAGAAGGAAATGTGAATGTGATATAATTTTTCATTTGACCTTTTTTTAAAATCACTTAAAAATGTAAAAGACATTCTTAGCTCGTAGACCCTTACAAAAACAGGCAGCAGGCTAGATATGGCCTGGGGGGCATAGTGAGTGGACCCCTGTTCTAGTGGATATCCTCTTCTCAAAACCTGATGTTTAAAAGCATTTTCCAGGTGTGCCGTTGGTCAATGATTGGGGGTAACGCTAAAAGAAAACCAGGTTAATTTAACAAAATACTAACATTAGAAAAATAGCCACATCTGATTACAGACTTTGTATAAAGCCTCTAGTCTTTACTTTTGGCTATGAGGTTTTATGACTCCAGGCCCCACAATACAGGCCCCTTTTTTCTCACGGTCAAACTCTACAAGACACGTGTCCGCTATTCCCCTCTCCTGGGCTCTTCCAGGTGCACAGAGGGTGGGACTGCGTGCGGTATCATATACTGGTTAGGACAGCAGCTCCGGTCTAAGGCCCTGTCAGCACTGACTAGCCACACACAGGGAGAGTCACCTAAACGTCCGATGCCTTAGTTTCTGCCTGTAAAATGATATAAGAGAGTTGATAGAGCGGTTAAAAAAATCAGACAATACCATACTAGCCTAAGCACAGCGCCTGGCACACAAAGACTCCGCAGTAAAAGGCGGCTCCTATTATTGGAACAATTAGCATAGAAACTCAACTGCCGCTCCTCCAGGTGGGCCTCAGAGGGGGTCGAACAGGACCAGACCCAGGAGGGCCCCACACCAACTTCCGGAGGGCAGGACTCTGCCTGCCAGTGAGCCCCAGATCCAGGGACTAAGGCAGCAGGGGTGAAAGCAGGTAGGGGGAAAGGCGGGATTTGGGGGACAGGCAGCATGGGGGAGGGAGCAGGCAGCGGGGGATTGAGGGGAACTAGCAGCACGGGGGTTGGGGCACAAGCAGTACGGGGGAGGAAGCAGGCAGTCGGGGGTTTGGGGGGACAGGGAGCACGGGAGACGAAGCAGGCAGCCGGGGGTTTTGGGGGGACAGGCAGCGGGGGAGAGAGCAGGAGCAGGGGGTTTTGGTGGGACAGGCAGCGGGGGAGGAAGGAGGCGGCAGGGGGTCTGGGGGAGACAGGCAGCGAGGGAGGGGCGAGCGGGGCTCCTCCCACGGGATCCCCCGAGTGCGCCCGCGACGAGGGGTGCCGGTCCTCAAACTCCCGCTGCTGGAGCAGGCAGCAGGAAGTACCTCACCTTTCAGGATGGGGGCCGCCATGACAGACGGCGGGATCCGGCCAGCTGGCCTACGCGGTGCTTGCGAGCCTGGCGGCGCGCGCGGGCACTGGGCATGCGCGGGGTGAGCGCGCCGCCGTCACCGCGCTCCGCTGAATCCGCGTTTCCGGGATTTCTCTGTAGGTGAGGCGGGAGGCTGGAGGGAGCTGAGCCCCCGGGGAGGGGGCCCGATTCCGCCTCGCCGCGCCTCTGGCTGCTGGGCCGTGGGTTTTTCTCTTCTCCTGGGAGTAAGGAGGACGACGGCCCCTAACCCCTGAATTAGCCTTCTATTTCCATTAGTGACTTAGAAGCTACCCGGCGCCTCATCTGGGCTCACCTGAGCTGAGGATCAGGAAGGGGAGGGGGCACAGTCATTCCCTCGCGGACGCGGCGGGACCCCAGCGGACGGCTTTGTGCGGACTTTCGGCACCGTTATGCCCCCCTAGCCCGACACCACCTGGGGCTGGCGCGCCACGTTACTGTTCAGGGCCAGACGCACCGCCCTGCCTGCTCCGGGGAGCCGGACCTCCGATCCCGGGGATGGGGGACCCCGAGACCTCAGACCCAACGGAGGGGACTCTGATACCTCAGACCCCACGCGGGGACCCCGAGGCTTCAGACCCCCACAGGGTGACCCCGAGATCTCAGACCCCCGCAGGAGTACCTCCAGACCTCAAATCCCCAGTAAGGGAATGAAAGAGACTTCGGATCCCTGAGGCAGCAAATCCCTGTAGGGGCATCCCAGGACTCAGGTCACCGCGGGGTGAACCCAGACCTCACATTCAGGCAATCCCCAGGACGCCGATCGGCTGGCACTACCCACTGTCCCGGCCACCCCCCCTGGAGCTCAAAGGCTTGGCCCTCCAGCTGCTCCACCCTGCCGGCAACCAGGCTCAAACCTGCAGCCCGCGGATCCCCTGCCCCGGAAGCAACCAGATTCGCGGGAGGTTACCTGACTGATCCAAGGTGATACAGCTGGTAACTGATGGAGATGTTGGTAGTGAAATTCATGTACTTTTAGTTCTTTCTATGGAATCTAGAGGTAGAATACATGTAAAAGAATATCGACTACCGTCTACTCAGGTCTCTGTTTTATCTGTTTATTCATTCACTCTCAGCTTTTAATAGGATCCAATGAGCCCTCTGTGGTTCTGAAGAATTGCCTTGAGTATATGCAGCCTCAAAAAACCCACTTCCTAGGCTCAGTCTTTGATCAATATTTATCATTATCACCAGTTATTGTTCTAATAAACTCTACTCTGGAAATATGGTGTTATGGTTTACTTGGGAGTGTGAGTTCAGGGCATCATTGAAGACTCACGTACTTTTACTGAGAAAGTGACATTGATCTCTGTAGATTTTGAATTAAATGATATGATGAAGTATATAAACCAATTACTTTTGGTCAAGGTGGTAAAAAAAGTTTAGTATTTGATAGATTCTTCATCTCCACGATCACAAATATTTTCTCCTAGGATTTCTTCTAGAAATATTACTGCTTTAGGTTGTATATCAGGTCTAGGTTCTACTTTTTTTTTTTTTTTTCTCCAGGCAGTTTCTCACTCCGTTGCCCAGGCTGGAATGCAGTGGTGTAATCACAGCTCACTGCAGCCTCAACCTACTGGACTCAAAGGATAAGATCTGCTTTTAATTAATTTTTGTATACGGTATGGGATAGGGACCAAAGTTCATTTTTTTGCATGTATACATATCCAAATGTTCCAGCATCATTTATTAAAAAGTTATTTTTGTCTCTACTGCATTTCCTTTGTGCTTACATCAAAATCTGTGTTGCATATGTATGTGTTTCATTTTAGGCTTCCTATTGTGTTCCATTGAGCTATTTGTCTTTTTGCTGCCAGCACCATGCTGTTTTGATTATTGTAGCTATATAAATAAGTGATGAAATCAGATAGTTTATGTCCTACAACTTTATTTTTCAAGGTTATTTTGTATCTTCTAGATTCTTCAGATTTCCTTTTAAATCTTAGAGTCGACTTCTCATTTTGCACAAAAAAATACTGCTGGGATTTTGATTGAGATTGTGTTGACTCTACAGATGAATTTGGGGAGAATTGACATTTTAACCATATTGAATCTTCTGACCCATTAACATTTAGGTCTTTTAAAATTTCTCTGGCCAGACGCAGTGGCTCACGCCTGCCACTTTGGGAGGCCAAGGCGGGCCGATCACAAGGTCAGGAGATTGAGACCATCCTGGCTAACACAGTGAAACCCCATCTCTACTAAAAATACAAAAAATTAGCCGGGCGTGGTGGCATGCGCCTGTAGCCCCAGCTACTTGGAAGGCTGAGGCAGGAGAATGGCATGAACCCGGGAGACAGAGCTTGCAGTGAGCAGAGATCTTGCCACTGCACTCCACCTGGGGCAACAGAGCGAGACTCCATCTCAAAAAAAAAAAATATAACTGTTGTTAGATTTTAACCTAAGTATTTGTTTTTTTATTTTGTTTTTCTTTTTTTCTTCTTTTTTTTTTTTTTTTTTTTTTGAGACAGGATCTCACTCTGTCTCCCAGGCTGAAGTGCAATGGTGTGATCATGGCTCATCTTGAAGCCTCGACCCTCCTGGGATCAAGCTATCCTCCCACCTCAACCTCCTGAGTAGCTGGGACTACAAGTACACATGACCATGCCCAATTCATTTTTTAAATTCTTTGTAGAGGCGGAGTCCCACTATGTTGCCCAGGCTGGTCTTGAACTCCTGGGCTCAAGCAATCCTCCCACCTCAGCTTCCCAAAGTGTAGGGATTACAGGCATGAGCCACTGTGCAAGGTCTTGTGTTTTTTGATAATATCGTAAATGGTGATTTTTTCATTTGTTTCTGATTGTTGCTAATATATGGAAATATAGTTGATATCTGCAATTGATCTCATGTCCTGAAAACTTGCTAAATCTGCTTAATAATTTTTTGTACATTCAAAATGATGTTCTACAGGTAGTCGTATTGTCTATGTTGGAAGGAAAGCTTTTCCTCATTCAATGTCGGTCCTGTGTTTGAAGACCTGCAAATTAACTGATAACAACAGGTTAACAGGAGAAAAGACAAGGTTTAGAGTAACTCACTAAATAGAAATAAAGGTTTATAGATCCACTTAACAAAATGTGTTGGGAGATTTTGGAGTTTCAGTAGGAAGTTGTGGAAGGTTCTTTTGGGCTTTTGGATGCTTATGAGAATGGGCAATCTGTCTCTACAGTAGTGGAATTTACAGGAAACTTCCTCAGAGGGAGGCCAATGGCAGCTGTATTTTCTGGGGGCTCTGCTTTAGTGAAATAAGGGAAGTTCAAATAAAATTTCTTGATGCGTCTTTCTTAGATCAAATATTTTCACAGTAAAATAATCTTTATACCAACTTTTAGGGCCTGAATGGTCCACACATTTCTCCATCTGAAACTTCCCTAGAAATTTCATTAACAAAAAAAAGAAGCTAAGTTGATTGCTGTGGGGAGATGATTTGAGTTAGAAATTGTAAGATGAGAGATCTGTAAAAGGGGGAAAAACATAGATTAGAACAAGGAAACAAAAACAATGATTAATGTTCAGAGCAGACGATAAACCCAGTCTAGAGGGTAAGCCAGTTATGAAATTTTCTAGATGTTGGGCTCCAGCTATCTTTAGTGAGGATGGTAGTGGTAGGTAGTGTTGCCATCATGGTTATTTCCTAGAGCACAGTCTGGAAGATGCAGGTGTTCTGGGGAAATATTTGAAAGACCCACGTGTTGTGATAAGTCTTTTGAAGTTTCTGTCTAGCCATCCAGCTTCAGCTTGCAAGGCTTTGAGAAGGAATCAGTTTTAGTTCTCAGTGACGTCAAGTCAGTAGAGTGGGAGGAAAATTGGAAATACTGATTACTGACAAAATATGTAAGATGGCAGGATCCAGGTTTTGTTTTGTTTTTTGTTTTGTTTGTTTGTTTTTGAGACTGAGTATCACTCTTGTTGCCCAGGCTGGAATGCAGTGGTGCAATCTCGGCTCACTGCAACCTCCACCTCCCAGATTCAAGCGATTCTCCTGCCTCAGCCTCCCAAGTAGCTGGGATTGTGGGCTAATTTTGTATTTGTAGTAGAGATGGGGTTTCTCCATGTTGGTCATGGCTGGTCTCGAACTCCCGACCTCAGGTGATTCCCCGGCCTCGGCCTCCCAGAGTGCTGGGATTACGGGCGTGAGCCACCGTGCCTGACCGGCAGGATCCAGCTTTTAAAGAGGTAAAAAAATTGCTCAAAGACAATGAACAAGACTAGAGTCTGATAACTCACACAACTGGGTTATAGTTTGCCATTGAAACATAAAATTTCTCTGTATAATTACTACCACTGAGATCAAAGATAAACAAAGTAAGATTACTCTTGTTTACAAAATAAGTCTTGTCTCATTAAATTTGGCCTGATCATTTACATAAGTCCAGCAAGAATGATAATTGACCACAGGAGCCTTTTTAGGTTTGCTTGGCTGGAACTTTTATAAGGAATCTCAGATTAGAGTTTTAAGACTACACCTACACAGCCAGGCGTGGTGGGTCACGCCTGTAATCCCAGCACTTTGGGAGGCTGAGGCGGGTGGATCACAAGGTCAGGAGTTCAAGACCATCCTGCCTAACCCGGTGAAACCCCGTCTTTACTAAAAATACAAAAAAATTAGCCGGGCGTAGTGGCGGGTGCCTGTAGTCCCAGCTACTCGGGAGGCTGAGGCAGGAGAATGGCATGAACCTGGGCGGCAGAGTTTGCAGTGAACCGAGATTGCACCACTGCATTCCAGCCTGGGGGACAGAGTGAGACTCCATCTCAAAAAAAAAAAAAAAAAAAAAAAAAAAAGACTACACCTATACTATCTGTAGTTTCAGATAGAGAAATGTGGGGATCCATTCAGACCCTAAAACTGTTGCTCTTCTTGAGGTTTCCAAAACATCTTAAGGCCCTGGGCCTGCGAGTAAGTAACCCATCTTACTCACCTGTAAGCCTGGAACCCTGTAAGTCAGGTAAGGCACCAGGTCAATTATTTCAGCAGAGCTTTGTAAGCATTGGCTCCATCAAGTCAACCTTAGTTTCTTAAAAATGTCTGGTCACGTCTAATTCTGTGCACATCAGTCTCAAATATGACCTTCTAGTCAAAGTCTTGGTAACATAATCAATTTTTCCAAATAATGTCCTTTTTTAAGGAGAACAGATTCTTCTTGAATTTATGCAAACAACTATATTGCCATGAGAATAGGAATATTCAATAAGAATTGACAAATTTTAGAGGAAGCAGGGAGAAAAAGATAAATTTTTCATTTCTACTTATGAAAGTTTATTAAATTGTTATCATTTGTGGATAGCTTAAGAGAAAAGAGAAATCAAAGGATGTATCACAACAGTTTGGGGTTTTCAATTATTTCTCCAGAACACTTGCATCTTCCAGGCTCTGCTCCAGAAAATAACCATGACTCCAACATACCACTACCATCCTCACTAAAGATGGAACCCCACATCTAGAAAACCTCATGACTGGCTTGCCCTCTGGACTTAAAAAAACTGGGTTTATATTCTGCTCTGAACATTAATCATTGTTTTTATTTTGTTTCCTTGTTCTAATCTATGTTTCTTCCCTTATATTCAGGACATAGAACATTCAAGAACCAGCAATGTTTCAAACAAAGGCCATTTAAAAAATCATAACCATTGTTTATCAGTCACCTCAGTTCCATATGATTAATTCTGGCCTTGCTTGATCTTGGATTAGCAGTGTCATGAACCCATCAGCTTTTCAACTAGAGTTCTGGAAATCCTTCCTCAGGGCAGTGGTATGAGATTAAAGTTATTTAAGCAATGTCATCAGAAGCCTGTACCCCACAGTACTGTTACAGGCCTTTCCATGGATCTTAGAGAAACAGTCCTTTTTGTTGAAGATGAAGTATTCTGGCTAATAACTGATCGCTAGAGCTTTCAGGAAAGTACCAGAGTAAAATAATAACTGCGAATGACAAAAAGGCAAAAATGGCCATGGTAAAGATCGGATGAAGGTTTATTTTAATTCTGTTAACAAGGAAAATCAGTTTTTTTGTGGCATACATTTAAAATCATAACTGTAATCATGACTGATAATATTATACCAGGACATATTATGGTTATCAAGGGCATTGACAAATTTCTAGGAACTTTATTCAGTTTCTGAAATAATAACATTTATCCATGCAAATACCACCTAAGGAAGGTTAAGTATCTTTTCTTGACAGTGAGTGCCTCCCGTGCAATTTAACATATTGAATAAACCTAATTAGTTTAACATCTCTCTTTTTACAAAATGAGAGAACAAATATTTTGAGATCTTCTAGGGACCCTTTGGAAAATCTCAAAGTCAGTTCAAAGTTAAAAAAATTTCATTTAGAATTTCATTTGGGGAAGTTGTCAAAAATGCCAAAAGCGTTGAACACTTGATTAAATAGGATCACAGGTCACTGTGAAACAACACTTAATTATCCATTTAATTAAACTGACAATAAAAATAGCCATAGGAGATTCTATGATTGTAAGAAAAAAATAGCTTTTTTTTTAAGGTGAGAAGATTTAGTTGTCTTAAATAATCAAAGACATGATAAAGCACCAGAAATTATTCTAATAAAACACAGTCACTGATTTCTAGGTGGTATTAATGAAAAAAAAATGTTCTTAAAGTTGTTGAAACAGTAAATACTTTTTTTTTTTTTAATTTAAGACAGGAGATTTATTATTACTCAAATCAGTCTCCCCAAGGAGCATCCAGGGATCAGAGTTTTGAAGGATAACTTGCTGGGCCGGGGGCAGCCAGTGAGTCAGGAGTGCTGATTGGTCAGGTTGGAAATGAAATCACAGGGAGTCAAAGCAGTCTTCTTGCGCTGAGTCAGTTACTGGGTGGTGGCCACAAGATCAGATGAGCCCGATTATCCATCTGGGTGGGGCCAGCTGATCCATCAAGTGCAGGGTCTGCAATGTATCTCAAGCGCTGATCTTAGGAGCAGTTTTGGGAGGGTCAGAATCTTCTAGCCTCCAACTGCATGACTCCTAAACCATAGTTTCTAATCTTGTGGCTAATTTATGAGTCCTACAAAGGCAGTCTAGTCCCTAGGCAAGAAGGAGGTTTGTTTTTGGAAAGGACTGTTATTCTCTTGGTTGTAAACTATAAACACTAAGCTAAGTTCCTCCCAAAGTTAGTTCAGCCTATGCCTGGGAAAGAACAAGGACAGCTTGGAGGTTAGAAGCAAGATGGAGTTGGTTAGGTCAGATCTCCTTCACTGTCCCAGTTACAATTTTGCAGTGGCTGTTTCAATCCCTCCCTTTGGTTTTTTTGTTTGTTTGTTTTTGGTGCGATTTTGGCTTACCGCAACCTCCACCTCCCGGGTTCAAGCAATTCTCCTGCCTCAGCCTCCCGAGTACCTGGGACTACAGGCATGCACCACCACGCCTGGCTAATTTGTTGTATTTTTAGTAGAGATGGGGTTTCACCATGTTGGCCAGGCTGGTCTCGAACTCCTGACCTCAAGTGATCCACCTGCCTTGGCCTCCCAAAATGTTGAGATTATAACCATAAGCCACCGCTCCCAGACTCCTTTTGGATTTTATAACACCTTAATCTTAAGGTGTTGGCTAATGAAAATTGAAAAAGGGCGAAGGCTGCTCTAACTTCTTCCTGCCGATCTGAGGCATAGTAGGGGTAGGCGTTAACCCCAAAGTGAGAGAAATGGAACTGCTTTGCAACTGTGTGAGCGTACTCATGCAGGCCTGGCTGGGGTTCCAAGGCTCGCATGGCAAAGGCATTAGTATTAACATCTATAGTTTTAGTACTGCATTTGAGGGAACAGTGACTATCAGGTAGATAATGAATACTAGGGTGAGGAGTGCAATTCCCAGTTTCAAAAGTAAAGATTTGAAAGCATTAGTTTGGGGACTTTTAGCCCACAGAGAATTTAGGATTTAGTCCAAACTGAAGGAAAAATTCAAGAACAGCTAACAAAAGGTGTACTGTAACTTTTGTTTTTTTTTAGATGGAGTGTCACTCTGTTGCCAGGCTGAAGTGTAGTGGCAAGATCTGGGCTCACTGCAACCTCCACCTCGCGGGTTTAAGCAACTCTCCTGCCTCAGTCTCCCAAGTAGCTGGGACTACAGGTGCATGCACACCACCACGCCCAGCTAATTTTTGTATTTTTAGTAGAGATGGGAGTTCTCCATGTTGGCCAGGATGGTATCAATCTCTTGACCTCGTGATCCAACTGCCGTGGCCTCCCAAAGTGCTGGGATTATGGGCATGGGCCACCACGCCCAGCCTATAAGTCTTTTTTAAGTATAATTTTTCTCTTTCCAATCCTCATTTTTTTCTTTTCTTTTTTTTTTTTTTTGAGACAGAGTCTCACTCTGTTGACCAGGCTGGAGTGCAGTGGCGCAATCTCGGCTCACTGCAAGCTCTGCCTCCCGGGTTCACACCATTCTCCTGCCTCAGCCTCCCGAGTAGCTGGGACTACAGGCGCCCGCCACCACGCCCGGTTAATTTTTTGTATTTTTAGTAGAGATGGGGTTTCACCGTTTTAGCCAGGATGGTCTCGATCTGCTGACATCGTGTTCCACCTGCCTCGGCCTCCCAAAGTGCTGGGATTACAGGCGTGAGCTACCGCACCCGGCCCCCCAATCATCATTTTTATTAAAAACAAATAATGATAGGACTGATTGGTTTGCAAAATAAACTTTTATTGTACTTGGCCTGGTTATTTGCATAAAGCACAGCAAAAATAATTATTTTTCATATAGGATTTTTAAATTGGCTTTGATGGAGCTCTGTTCTATAAGGAATCTCAGATAAGACTTTTTAAAAGCTGAGCCCTGCCATGGGTTTATACCGTCAAATACCTATGAGTTAGGTAAATTATTCTTCTCTTGAGGTGCCAAGATAACTTGGGGCTCCTCGGCCTGTTAGAAAGTGCCATTCTTTACTTATCACAGGTCAGAAACCTTATACAGGGACTGTGTAAAGAAAATATGAGGCCAGATTTCCCAAGAGGCTTTTATTGGCTCTGTAAATCAACTTTGATTCCTTAAAGAAAGCATGCCATTCCAGTCAAAGCCTTGGTAAAATAACCAGTTTCTACAATCGTGTCCTGTTACAAAAGAAAACAGATTCTTATCATGCTTATGCAAATGTCTATACTACCATAAATTGAGAATACTCACAAATAGTTCCCAAATTCTGGAGAAGTCAGGTAGAAAGAAATATGCTCCAAATTTTGTTCACAGGAGTATATTTTACCAATTGTTAAAGGCTGTAAATAGCTCAAAAGATAAGTTTTCTTAGTTCTGGATAAGAAAAAGGATCAGCAACATTTTAAGCAAAAAAGTAAAAAAAAAAAAAAAAAGGTTACTTCAGTCTTTTATTAGTTCAGTCCATTCAGTTAACTTTTGTTCTGCTTCATATCCATGAACATTTCAGCTCTCCATGAGAGTCCTGAAAGTTTTTCCCCTTTACACTTGTGTCATCATCATCTCCAAAGTTATCAGAAACTTGCATTCAAGAGTACCTGTCAAAGTTTTATAGCTGATTATAAAACCACCTTCCAAAGTGGATCAAAATGAGACAATTGCCTTGGATGACAAAAATATTTTAGGGCAGCCACAGTTAAAAACACAATTGGGCTGCGTGCAGTGGCTAACGCCTGAAATCCCAGCACTTTGGGAGACTGAGGCAGGCGGGTCACGAGGTCAGGAGATCAAGACCATCCTGGCTAACCCAGTGAAAACCCATCTGTACTAAAAATACAAAAAAATTAGTCGGGCATGGTGGCAGGTGCCTGTAGTCCCAGCTACTTGGGAGGCTGAGGCAGGAAAATGGTGTGAACTCAGGAGGTGGAGCTTGCAGTGAGCCGAGATCACGCCACTGCACTCCAGCCTGGGTGACAGAGCAAGATTCTATCTCAAAAAAAAAAAAAAGAAAAAAAAAATTGACAAGGAAATTTGTTACCTCTGTGACACACAATAATTTAACATAACAATTATAATTATTACTGATAACATATACTGAGGCATATCAAAATTATAGGACTCTTATAATCTTATACAATTTTGTAATACATACTAATAACACATTTATATAAATGTAACCCAAAGAAAATTAAACACTATATTTGACAATGTTTACCGCATGATTTTAGTACTTTAAATAAGCTGAATATGTCTTTTTGGACTTTAGGCAACTTAATTTTTTTTTTAACTTAGAATTTGATCTTGAGAGGTCTGTCAAATATCAAAGGTTTAAAAACACTGGATATCAGAAAATAGAGTCCCAGGTCACTATAAGTTATTCAATAGCCAAAATGATAACTCTAAAATTTTAAAGAAAAACCGTTACTCTGATAAGAGACTTAACTTTCCAAACAACCAGACCCAATGAAGATAGCATGAGTCCCACTGAAGGAAGACTTTATTAAAGACTGTTGAGATAGGGAAGAGAGATTGGGCTCAACTCTGAATTCAGCAAAGACAACTGGGGATTTCTGGCCATTGAACAGAGTGAGAGGTCATTGGATGGAAAATTACAAAAAAGAGACAGCAAGGGTAGGCAGATTCTTACTAGACCAACTGCTGTAGTCTGCATGTTGGTGTCCCCCACAAATTCAGATGTTGAAACCTAACCACCAGTGCAATAGTATTAAGAGGTAGGGTCTCAGTAGTAGTAAGAGGTGGGAAGTGATTAAGTAATGAGGGCTCTGTCCTAATGAATGTGATTTTTGCCCTTAACAAGAAGTTGAGAGAAGCAGTCCTTGTCCCTTCTGCCATGTGAGGACACAGACTTGACCCTTTTCCCTTATAAGGTCACATAGAAGGCACCATCTGTGAAGAACAGGCCTTCACCAGACACTGAATCTGCTGGTGCTTTGCTGTTGGACTTCCTAGCCTCTACAGTTGTGAGAAATAATGTCTGTTGTTTATAAATTTCTCAAACTAACATGTTTTGTTTTAGCAGCTTGTATGGACTTAGATGGAAATTGATAGCAAGAAGTGGGGTGCTGCTGTAAAACAATACCTAAAAATGTAGAAGTGGCTTTGGAATTGTATAATTAGCAGAAGCAGGAAGAACACTGAGGTGCACATTAGAAAAAGCTTGTATTGCTATTGTTGGGTCATAGAAGGCGATTCTCATAAGGCCGAGCGCAGTGGCTCACACCTGTTATCCCAGCACTTTGGGAGGCCGAGGCGGGCAGATCACAAGGTCAGGAGATCGAAACCATCCTGGCTAACACGGTGAAACCCCATCTCTACTAAAAATACAAAAAAATTAGCCAGGCGTGGTGGCAGGTGCCTGTAGTCCCAGCTACTCGGGAGACTGAGACAGGAGAATGACATGAATCCAGGAGGTGGAGCTTGCAGTGAGCCGAGATCGCGCCACAGCACTCCAGCCTAGGTGACAGAGCGAGACTCCGTCTCAAAAAATAAAAAGGCGATTCTCATAAGGGCTCAGAAGAAGAGAACTGTAGAAAAAGCCTCAATCTTCTAAGACATTACTTAAGTGGTTATACTCAGAATGTTGGTAGAAATATGGTCAATAAAGGCAATTCTGATGAGGTATCAGAAATGAGGGGCATGTTATTAGAAACAGGAGGAAAGGCCATCCTTGTTATAAAGTGGCAAAGACCTCAGCTGAATTGTGTTGGGTCCTAATGTTTTGTGAAAGGAGGAACTTAACAAGTAATGAAAGAGGGTATTTGACAGAAGAAATCTTTAAGCAAAGTGCAGCATGGCTTCTCCTGATTGCCTATAGTAAACTGCCAGGAGGGAAACAGATTAAAGACAGAATGTATAATCAATTATTTATATCAATTATGAAGAAAAGCCTCAGTCACTTCACAATGGGGAAACATAGCAGACAGCACCTTTCAAAGGAACCAAACATCACCAGTAAAGGGACAAAGAGTCACCAGCTGCCTCATGATATGAAGCACTGAGAAGCACACATCACTTCTACTTCCAGGGGGTTCCTGCCAAGAATGCAGAACCCAAATGGAATTCCGAGAAATCATCACACAAATCCAAACAGAAGGGCTTTCTACAAAATAACTGGCCTGTATCCTTCAAAAACGTCAAGGTCATGAAAGACAAAGAAATATGAGAAACTGTGGCAGCTTAAGGGAAACTAAAGAGACGTAGCAACTAAGTGCAATGTGTGATTCTGGACTCAATCATGAAACAGAACAAAAAATTAAAAGTATTTTCTTTTTGTTTTTAAATGGAGTCTTGCTCTATCGACGGGCTGGAGTGCAGTGGTGTGATCTCGGCTCACTGCAAGCTCTGTCTCCTGGGTTCACGCCATTCTCCTGCCTCAGCCTCCCGAGTAGCTGGGACTACAGGCGCCTGCCACCACGCCCAGCTAATTTTTTTGTATTTTTTAGTAGAGATGGGGTTTCACCCTGTTAGCCGGGATGGTCTCAATCTCCTGACCTCGTGATCCACCCGCCTCGGCCTCCCAAGTGCTGGGATTACAGGCATGAGCCACTGCGCCCGGCCAAAAGTATTTTCTAGGAGGAATAGTAATGAGACAATTAGCAAAATGTGGAAAATGTCTGTATGTTCAATAGTAGTGTTTTATAAACGTCAGTTCTCTGATTTTGATCATTATAGTGTGGTTACTTACCAGAATGCCTCATTTTAGGATAATACACACTGAGGTATTTAGGGGTAGGTGACATCATGCTTATAACTTCCTCCCAAATATTTTAAGGAAAAATATATGCACACGGACATACATTCATATATGCAATATGATAATGAAGAAGCAATGGTGACATTTGGATCTGGGTGAATGGCTTATGGGAATTCATTTTTGTACTGTTTTGTACATTTTGTACTATTCTTGTGCTTTTGCTATAAGTCTGAAATTCTTTTAAAATAAGAAGGAAATACAATTATGGCAGGAAAATAGCTGACTGGGCCACATTATTAGCCCTAATGGTCCTCACCTCTCAGAGTGGAAGGCAAATACTGGTGACTGTTGAGTCACAGCCTCACGTGTCCAGCACCGTTGTAACCAACTAGACTATGTTTGCTTATGCACATGGCAACAGAAAATAAGGAGTCCAAGAATATGCAACCCAGAAATCAAACTTAACCATTGAATATAGCTGGCTTAGTCGGATCAGGGCTACTATAACAAAATCTAAAATGGGTGGCTTGGCCAGGCATGGTGGCTCATACTTGTAATCCCAGCACTTTGGGAGACCAAGGCAGGCAGATCACCAGGTCAAGACATTGAGACCATTCTGGCCAAAATGGTGAAACCCCATCTCTACTAAAAATAGAAAAATGAGCTGGGCGTGGTGGCGCATGCCTGTAGTCCCGGCTACTTGGGAGTCTGAAGCAGAAGAATCGCCTGAACCTGGGAGGTGGAGGTTGCAGTGAGCTGAGATCGCGCCACCTGCACTGCAGTCTGGTGACAAAGCGAGACTGTGTCTCAAAAAAAAAAAAAAAAAAAAAAGAGTGGCTTATAGACAACAGAAATATATTGCTCACAGTCTGGAGGCTGGACGTCCGAGATCAATGTGCTGGCTGATTTGGTGTCTGGTAAAGGTCGCTCTTGACTTCAGAGATGCACCTCCTTGATGTATCTTCATGTGGTGGAAGGAGCTTTGTAGCTCCCTGGGGCCTCCTTTATAAGGGCACTAATCCCACTCATGAGGGTTCATAACCTAATCACCTTCCTAAAGTCCCACCTCCTAGTGCCATCAGTTTGAGAGTTAGGATTTCAATGTATGAGTTTGGGGGCAGGCACAAACATTGAAATCATAGCAACATCTCACCCTATCAATAGAAAGGCAGTTTGCTATCCCATTTAAAAATCATCTCTGTTAATGGTAGGAAGAATTTAGTATAGAAATTCTGATGTCTAGGAAAATACTGTTATCAAATACTATATTAAAAGAAAGGTATTCCATATATAAACTTTGGAAAGCTATTTACTCTGTCCAGAATATAGCCTCAAGTGTAAAGATTCTTTGATTTAGTGCTGTTTTAAGGCAGTTTTAGAGCGGTTGCAAAAAGCTTTGTTAAAAAAATGAAATCTTTAAGACTTGACTAAGCAATAGCATATTGAAAAAGACCTGTCCCTGACACAAGAAAATACTAAATTTAAAGGGTGCTATCATCAAATCCAATCTATTTGTTTCACAGATTCAAGAAATCAGGCTAGCAACTCAGAAAGAGAGCCACTTAAATTAGTTTCCGTTCTAGAACTCGGGCCTCTTGCCATCAGGCCTGATCTGTTCATTTCTCATTTGCTATTCCTTCCATAGATATTTATCGAGCATCTTCTATGCACCAGGAGCCGTCTTAGGCTCCAGATGGTAATGAACCTCTTATCACTTGACTCACTCCCTCTTCATAGGACCAGGACTACCCATCACGAAAGCCTAGGGGCTAAAACTCTCATTATTAAGAACAAAGTGAATTAAAATTAATGAGCTCAAGGAGACCTGATGTTTGCACTAATATGGTCTACTATTTTTTTGTCATAGCATTTCTATTCAAGATTTTTAATCAGATAAATCCATCTAAAAAAAGGATCTCGTAAAGCCTAAAAGAGGGCATCCCTGTTTCTTCATTTTTATTCTTCGCAGAAGGACAAAAGATGAAAGCTATTATTTCTCTACCAACCCTCACCTGCAATAAAAGGGATCTGTACTGGAAAGCCCCTTTAAACACACCCAGGGCAAAGGAAAAGTTGAAAGTATTGACTTTTGTGAAGCCCACACTTCGGCTCAGCAGGCGGAGGCCTTTTCAGAGATTTCTTCCTAACAGCCTGACAACACTTGGACAGGAATCAGGACGCGAACCTCTCTGAAAAGTCCCAGCAAACAAGTCAGATGAAAGGGCCGCACTTCAGAAAGAAAATGCTGGCGCCCTGGAGTCTGAAGTTACCTGCGAATCTTCCCTTCTCCCAGCACAGGGTAAACATTTAGGGCAGCTGTGGATCTGGGTTTCCTAGGAGTTCATGAATTTCAAAGATGAAGCACAGATCATTCAGGTACATTTTCCTTTATGGTATTTCTATAAAACCAAAAAAATTTAAAAGTTGGTGTAGAAAATTGACTATCATTCATTAACAGGAAGCTTTTTCGATTGAAAATACAGTTCTATTGATATTAGAAGCTAAGGTGACTTTTTTCTTGAATAATAATTGCCAAATACCCTTGTCTTTAATGGAAAAAAATTTTTAAAATGCTTTTTACGTTCTACAATGAGATTATTTGACAGGATAGAATAATTAGTATGCTTGCACTCACAAACATGAAATATTTCTAAACATCATGAGTATTTGAACTAAGTGAATGACTGGAAGAGGATGGGAAAGCAGAGGGAATGAAAAACCAAAGAGCCCCAATTATTTGCAAGAAAAATAATGATTTATCTTAGTTTTATGCCTTGGCAATGTTTTTGAGTAATAAAAATGCAACTTTGTGGCTGACTGAAGAATCCAAGATAGTAGAGTTCTTAGGGAATGAACTCAAATATGGCACAGGCAGCAAAACAATGAGAACAGACCTCAGCTGTGTGTGGAGCTGAACCCTGCAGGCCCCCGCTGGGCCCCATGTTAATCCTTCAGTCGCTGGATGCCTGGGAAGCCAGGTGGAAACCAGAAGAAAGGTAGAGATGGGTGGGGCGGCAAATCCTAAGATGGTTCAAGACAGCAGCATCTTCAAGTGACCCAGGAATATTCCAGTATTTTAGCAATAAGCATAGATCTGCCAGTGTGTCCCAGTTTGAATATGGGCCCTGAACAGTGAATTTTTAACACATCTGAGATCATACCACCTATAATTTGGTGCCGTACTTTTTTTTTTTCCAGTTTAACAGTATACTATGAGCATTTTCCCACAATGGTCACTCTCTGTGTTTATTGCTTTGCTTCCAGAAAGAATTGGAGGCAATTTAGCTTTAAATGAGACTAAGAGTGTTGAAGAACAATTGCTTTCGTCCACAGAAAATTCTTCTGAGCAACCTGGTTGATGATGGTGTATTCTCTGTCTCCTGAGGAAGGGACCCTGTCTATTTGGTTCACTGCTGTGTTTGCATATCCTTCCATACACCATGCTGGTGTGTCCAGAATTGGTTCCTTCCAGTGGGTTCTTGGTCTTACTGACTTCAAGAATGAAGCCACGGAACCTCACAATTAGTGTTACAGTTCTTAAAGATGGTGTGTTCGGAGTTTGTTTCTTCAGATGTTCAGATGTGTCTGGAGTTTCTTCCTTCTGGTAGGTTGGTGGTCTTGCTGACTTTAGGAGTGAAGACGCAGACCTTTGCAGTGAGTATTACAGCTCTTAAAGGTGGTGTGTCCAGAGTTCTCCATTCCTCCCAGTGGGTTCTTGGTCTTGCTGACTTCAGGAGTAAAGCTGCAGACCTCTGTGGTGTGTTACAGCTCATAAAGACAGTGCTGATCCAAAGAGTAAAAGAACAAAGCTTCCACAGTGTGGAAGGCAACCCCACTGCATTGCCACTGCTGGCTCCGGTGGCCAGCTTTTATCCCCTTATTTGGCCCCACCCACATCCTGCTGATTGGTCCATTTTACAGAGTGCTAATTGGTCCATTTTACAGAGTGCTGATTGGTCTGTTTTTACAGAGTGTTGATTGGTGTGTTTACACACCTTTAGCTAGACACAGAGCACTGATTGGTGCGTTTACAAACCTTTGGCTAGACACAGAGCGCTGATTGGTGCATTTACAATCCTTTAGCTAGACAGAAAAGTTCCCCAAGTCCCCACCCGTCCCAGAAGCCCAGCAGGCTTCACCTCTTACTGGGGTCATAGGAGGTGGTCAATAAGCACCTGTGGAATAAATGAAGGAAGAGGCACACACATTAAGTGCTGTAAAAAAGATAAGGGGAAAGGGTGTGTTTACATTTTTAAAATTGTAATTACTCAGGTAACTGAAAACAACATTATAAAAAACTAGCATTTAAATTAGAAGCAATTCCCTGGCAATCTGTCTTACATTTTTTAAGATTCCTTGATACTAGAGATATCTGTGATTGAAAAAGCTGCCTGTGGAGTCTCTGACAAGCACCAGCAGTAGAATCACACATTGACTTTGTATTAGTTTGCCAGGAGGTACCATAAGTGGGGGACTCGCGCAATAAGATCTTACTGTTTCTCAGTTCTGGAGGCTAGAAGACCACAATCAAGATGTTGGTGGGTTGCTTCCTTCTAAGGGCTGTGCAGGGAGGATCTGCTCCAGGCCTCTCCTCCAGCTCCTCATGGCTACCAGCAGTCTTTGGTGTTTCTTGGCATGTAGAAGCCTCGCCTTGATCTCTGTCTTCATCTTCACGTGGCATTCTCTCTCTCTCTGTCTATCCGCCTCTCTGTGTGCGTGTGTGTGTTTCCAAATTTCCCCTTCATAGAAGGATACAAGTCATATTGGGTAGGTCCACTCCAGTATCACCTTATCTTAACTAATTACTTCTGCAATAATTCTAGTTCAAAAAAAAAAAATCCACATTCTGAGGTACTGGGAGTTAGGACTTCAACATGTACATTTTTGGGGGGATACAATTCAACCCATAACAGACTCCTGGGATTCTGGATCCACTTGCATAGGATTCCATGCCATCTGCAGCTGACAATATATACCATTCAAAATGCACATCTCGCTGGGCCCGGTGGCTCATGCCTGTAATCCCAGCACTTTGGGAGGCTGAGACAGGCAGATCACCTGAAGTCAGGAGTTCCATACCAGCCTGGCCAACATGGCAAACCCCATCTCTACTAAAAATACAAAATTAGTGAGGCATGGTGGCATATGCCTGTAGTCCCAGCTACTCGGGAGGCTGAGGCAGGAGAATCACTTGAATCCAGGAGGCGGAGGTTGCAGTGAGCCGAGATTACACCACTGCACTCCAGCCTGAGCAACAAGAGCAAAACTCTGTCTCAAAAAAAAAAAAAAAAGAAGCAGCAGCCAGGTGCAGTGGCTCACGCCTGTAATCCCAGCACCTTGGGAGGCTGAGGCGGGTGGATCACGAGGTCAGGAGTTTGAAACTAGCATGGCCAACATAGTGAAACCCTGTCTCTACTAAAAATAAAAAAATTAGCTGGGCGTGGCGGTGGATGCCTGTAATCCCAGCTACTCAGGAGGCTAAGGCAGGAGAATAGCTTCAACCCAGGAAGCAGAGGTTGCAGTGAGCTGAGGTCGCGCCACTGCACTCCAGCCTGAGCAACAAGAGTGAAACTCCGTCCCCCCCGCCCCGCAAAAAAAAAGAGAAGCAACTCTGGTGAGCTACTGGGCCCTGCAGAGACTGAATATCTGGTGGACGTTGAGTGTCTAGATGGCCAGAGGCATTCATCATGGACCAAGTGTCAAGCGAAACCTCAAACAATCTGTTGTAAGACAGAAATGGTGTATCTAGAATCAGCTTGAGGAGGCACAGAGAGTGAACTGCATGAACAGGTGCTGTCACCTCTGGGGCACCTCCAAAGCTCTACCTATGGCATCTTGGGGGACTTCCCTGTGCCCAGTTGATGGAAGAGGAAAACCTACAGGCTTGGGTCATAAATGGGTCAACTCAGTATGTTGATGTGAGCCCTAAATGGACTTCACCTGCATTCGAGGCCTATTTGGGGGAGGAGTGGTTTGAAAGATGGTGGTAAGGGAAAATCTTCCAAGGGCAGAGTTTTGGCCAGTATACCTGGCCATCCACTTTGGGAAGGGATAAAAGTGGCCTGAGGTAAGCATATATATAAATTCATGGGCAGTGGCAAATAGCTTGACTTGTTGGCTAGGGCTCTGAAAGGAGCAAGGTTGGAAAATCAGAGACAAGAAGTTCTAGGGAAGAATCATGTGGATAGACCTATGGGAGTGGGCTTCAAGTGCGACAAGCTTTGTGTTTCAAGTTATTATTGCTCACTAGAGTGCATTCATTGCAGAAGACTTTTGAAAAACGGAAGTGGTTAAGACAGGCCAGCCAGGAAATATTCGAGAATTTTTTTCTTGCCACTCAAGTGCTTGTGCAACGGGCTCATTAATGGAGTAGGTGTGGAAGAGATGTGTGACTACCTGCCAAGACATATTCTCTCTCTCACTTAGGCTGATCTAGTGAGTGCTGCTGCTGAGTGATGATGACTTGTCAGCAGCCTGGATATGGTGCCACCATCTGAGACCATTCATTTGGTGGAGACTTGGGAAGGGCAGCATTTCATCCTTTTTTTTTTTTTTCTTTTTTTTGAGATAGAGTCTTGCTATGTCACCCAGGCTGGAGTGCAGCGGTGCAATGTCAGCTCACTGCAACCTCTGCCTCCTGGGTTCAAGCGATTCTCCTACCTCAGCCTCCTGAGTAGCTGGGATTACAGGCGCATGCCACCACGCCCGGCTAATTTTTTGTATTTTTAGTAGAGACTGGGTTTCACCATGTTAGCCAGGATGGTCTCGATCTCCATCTCAAAAAAAAAAAAGTGTTCCTATTTCTCCACATCCTCTCCAGCACCTGTTGTTTCCTGACGTTTTAATGATCACCATTCTAACTGGTGTGAGATGGTGTCTCATTGTGGTTTTGATTTGCATTTCTCTGATGGCCAGTGATGATGAGCATTTTTTCATGTGTCTGTTGGCTGCATAAATGTCTTCTTTTGAGAAGTGTCTGTTCATATCTTTCGCCCACTTTTTGATGGGGTTGTTTGATTTTTTCTTGTAAATTTGTTTAAGTTCTTTATAGATTCTTGATATTAGCCCTTTGTCAGATGGGTAGATTGTAAAAATTTTCTCCCATTCTGTAGGTTGCCTGTTCACTCTGATGGTAGTTTCTTTTGCTGTGCAGAATCTCTTTAGTTTAATTAGATCCCATTTGTCAATTTTGGCTTTTGTTGCCATTGCTTTTGGTGTTTTAGTCATGAAGTCCTTGCCCATGCCTATGTCCTGAATGGTATTGTCTAGGTTTTCTTCTAGCATTTTTATGGTTTTCCATGCGTATGTCCTGAATGGTATTGTCTAGGTTTTCTTCTAGCATTTTTATGGTTTTAGGTCTAACATTTAAGTCTTTGATCCATCTTGAATTAATTTTTGTATAAGGTGTAAGGAAAGGATCCAGTTTCAGCTTTCTACATGTGGCTAGCCAGTTTTCCCAGCACCATTTATTAAATAGGAAATCCTTTCCCCATTTCTTGTTTTTGTCAGGTTTGTCGAAGATCAGATGGTTGTAGATGCGCGGTATTATTTCTGAGGGCTCTGTTCTGTTCCATTGGTCTATATCTCTGTTTTGGTACCAGTACCATGCTGTTTTGGTTACTGTAGCCTTGGAGTATAGTTGGAAGTTAGGTAGTGTGATGCCTCCAGCTTTGTTCTTTTGGCTAGGATTGTCTTGGCAATGTGGGCTCTTTGTTCCATATGAACTTTAAAGTAGTTTTTTCCAATTCTGTGAAGAAAGTCATTGGTAGCTTGATAAGAATGGCATTGAACCTATAAATTACCCTGGGCAGTATGGCCATTTTCACGATATTGATTCTTCCTATCCATGAGCATGGAATGTTCTTCCATTTGTTTGTGTCCTGTTTTATTTCATTGAGTAGTGGTTTGTGGTCTCCTTGAAGAGGTCCTTCACATCCTTTGTAAGTTGGATTCCTCAGTATTTTATTCTCTTTGAAGCAATTGTGAATGGGAGTTCACTCATGATTTGGCTCTCTGTTTGTCTGTTATTGGTGCATAGGAAAGCTTGTGATTTTTGCACATTGATTTTGTATCCTGAGACTTTGCTGAATTTACTTATCAGCTTAAGGAGATTTTGGGCTGAGTCAATGGGGTTTTCTAAATATACAATCATGTCATCTGCAGACAGGGACAATTTGACTTCCTCTTTTCCTAATCGAATACCCTTTATTTCTTTGTCCTGCCTGATTGCCCTGGCCAGAACTTCCAACACTATGTTGAATAGGAGTGGTGAGAGAGGGCATCCCTGTCTTGTGCCAGTTTTCAAAGGGAATGCTTCCAGTTTTTGCCCATTCAGTGTGATATTGGCTCTGTGTTTGTCATAAATAGCTCTCATTATTTTGAGATACATCCCATCAATACCTAGTTTATTGAGAGTTTTTAGCATGAAGAGCTGTTGAATTTTGTTGAAGGCCTTTTCTGCATCTATTGAGATAATCATGTGGTTTTTGTCATTGGTTCTGTTTATATGCTGGACTACGTTTATTGATTTGTGTATGTTGAACCAGCCTTGCATCCCAGGGATGAAGCCAACTTGGTCGTGGTGATAAGCTTTTTGATATGCTGCTGGATTCGGTTTGCCAGTATTTTATTGAAGATTTTTGCATCAATGTTCATCAGGGATATTGGTCTAAAATTCTCTTTTTTTGTTGTCTCTGCTGGGCTTTGGTATCAGGATGATGCTGGCCTCATAAAATGAGTTTGGCAGGATTCCCTCTTCTTCTATTCATTGGAATAGTTTCAGAAGGAATGGTACCAACTCCTCCTTTTACCTCTGGTAGAATTCGGCTGTGAATCTGTCTGGTCCTGGACTTTTTTTGGTTGGTAGGTTATTAATTATTGCCTCAATTTCAGAGCCTGTTATTGGTCTATTCAGGGATTCAACTTATTCCTGGTTTAGTCTTGGGAGGGTGTATGTGTCCAGGAATTTATCCATTGCTTCTAGATTTTCTAGTTTATTTGCATAGAGGTGTTTATAGTATACTCTGATGGTAGTTTGTATTTCTGTGGGCTTGGTGGTGATATCCCCTTTATGATTTTTTATTGTGTCTATTTGATTTTTCTCTCTTTTCTTCTTTATTAGTCTTGCTAACCATCTATCAATTTTGTTGATCTTTTCAAAAAACCAGCTCCTGGATTCACTGATTTTTTAGAAGGGTTTTTTGTGTCTCTGTCTCCTTCAGTTCTGCTATTTCTTGCCTTCTGCTAGCTTTTGAATGTGTTTGCTCTTGCGTCTTTAGTTGTTTTAATTGTGATGTTAGGGTGTCAATTTTAGATCTTTCCTGCTTTCTCTTGTAGGCATTTAGTGTTATAAATTTTCCTCTACACACTGCTTTAAATGTGTCCCAGAGATTCTGGTATGTTGTGTCTTTGTTCTCATTGGTTTCAAAGAACATCTTTATTTCTGCCTTCATTTCGTTATGTACCCAGTAGTCATTCAGGAGCAGGCTGTTCAGTTTCCATGTAATTGAGCAGTTTTGAGTGAGTTTCTTAATCCTGAATTCTAGTTGATTGCTCTGTGGTCTGAGAGACAGTTTGTTATAATTTCTGTTCTTTTACATTTGCTGCGGAGTACTTTACTTCCAACTATGTGGTCAATTTTGGAATAGGTGTGGTGTGGTGCTGAGAAGAATGTATATTCTGTTGATATGGGGTGGAGAGTTCTGTAGATGTCTATTAGGTCCGCTTGGTGCAGAGCTGAGTTCAATTCCTGGATATCCTTGTTACCTTTCTGTGTTGTTGATCTGTGTAATGTTGACAGTGGGGTGTTAAAGTCTCCCATTATTAATGTGTGGGAGTCTAAGTCTCTTTGTAGGTCTCTATGGACTTGCTTTATGAATCTCAGTGCTCCTGTATTGGGTGCACGTATATTTAGGATAGTTAGCTCTTCTTGTTGAATTCATCCCTTTACCATTATGTAATGGCCTTCTTTGTCTCTTTTGATCTTTGTTGGTTTAAAGTCTGTTTTATCAGAGACTAGGATTGCAACCCCTGCTTTTTTTTGTTTTCCATTTGCTTGGTAGATCTTCCTCCATCCCTTTATTTTGAGCCTATGTGTGTCTCTGCGTGTGAAATGGGTCTCCTGAATACAGCACACTGAAGTGTCTTGACTCTCTATCCAATTTGCCAGTCTATGTTTTTTAATTGGTGCATTGAGCCCATTTACATTTAAGGTTAATATTGTTATATGTGAATTTCATCCTGTCATTATGATGTTAGCTGGTTATTTTGCTTGTTAGTTGATGCAGTTTCTTCCTAGCATCAATGATCTTTACAATTTGGCATGTTTTTGCAGTGTGGCTGGTACCGGTTATTCCTTTCCATGTTTAGTGCTTCCTTCAGGAGCTCTTTTAGGGCAGGCCTGGTGGTGACAAAATCTCTCAGCATTTGCTTGTCTGTAAAGGATTTTATTTCTCCTTCACTTATGAAGCTTAGTTTGGCTGGATATGAAATTCTGGGTTGAAAATTCTTTTCTTTAAGAATGTTGAATATTGGCCCCCACTCTCTTCTGGCTTGTAGAGTTTCTGACAAGAGATCCGCTGTTAGTCTGATAGGCTTCCCTTTGTGGGTAACCCGACCTTTCTCTCTGGCTACCCTTAACATTTTTTCCTTTATTTCAGCTTCAGTGAATCTGACAATTATGTGTCTTGGAATTGCTCTTCTCGTGGAGTATCTTTGTGGCATTCTCCGTATTTCCTGAATTTGAATGTTGGCCTGCCTTGCTAGATTGGGGAAGTTCTCCTGGATAATATCCTTCAGAGTGTTTTCCAACTTGGTTCCATTCTCCCCATCACTTTCGGGTACACCAATCAGACGTAGATTTGGTCTTTTCATGTAGTCCCATATTTCTTGGAGGCTTTGTTTGTTTCTTTTTACTCTTTTTTCTCTAACTTCTCTTCTCGCTTCATTTCATTCATTTGATCTTCAATCACTGATACCCTTTCTTCCACTTGATCGAATCGGCTACTGAGGCTTGTGCATGCATCACGTAGTTCTTGTGCCATGGTTTTCAGCTTCATGAGGTCATTTAAGGTCTTCTGTACAGTATTTATTCTAGTTAGACATTCGTCTAATCTTTTTTCAAGGTTTATAGCTTCTTTGCGATGTGTTCGAATATCCTCCTTTAGCTCAGAGAAGATTGTTATTACCGATCGTCTGAAGCCGCCTTCTCTCAACTCATTAAAGTCATTCTCCATCCAGCTTTGTTCCATTGCTGGCAAGGAGCTGCGTTCCTTTGGGGGAGAAGAGGTGCTCTGATTTTTAGAATTTTCAGCTTTTATGCTCTGGTTTCTCCCCATCTTTGTGGTTTTATCTACCTTTGGTCTTTGATGATGGTGACGTGCAGATGGGGCTTTGGTGTGGATGTCCTTTCTGTTTGTTGGTTTTCCTTCTAACAGTCAGGACCCTCAGCTGCAGGTCTGTTGGAATTTGTTGGGGTCTGAATGTGGGTGTGAACATCTCTTCAAAATCCAGCTTTCTTTTCTGTTCTTTTCTTTTCTTTTTTTTTTTTTTTGAGGTGGAATCTCACTCTGTCACCAGGCTGGAGTACAGTGCACTCACTGCAACCTCTGCCTGCCAGGTTCAAGTGTTCTCCTGCCTCAGCCTCCCAAGTAGCTGGGACTACAAGCACATACCACCATACCCAGCTAATTTTTGTATTTTAATAGAGATGTAGTTTCACCATGTTGGCCAGGATGGTCTCGATCTCTTGACCTCGTGATCCACCTGCCTCTGCCTCCTAAAGTGGTGGGGTTACAGGTGTGAGCCACCACACCCAGCCCAAAATCCTGCTTTCAATCATTTTGAATATATCCCCAGAAATGGTATATGGTAATTTGTCATTTAATAGTTTAAAAATATTTCTTAAGAGGAGATGTTCTCCACATGTCTCAATAGCCGATAATGAAAGGATCCTCTGGATAAAACAGAACCCTGGACGTTACTATTACATGTGAAAACAAATACCGTTATTGTATTTTGATAGTCTTCTTGGCCTCTTTCCTCTTGGTCTCTTTAATCCTTAACAATTCACTAGTAAAAAGGAGATACAACAAGTCAACCAGGTAAGAATAACATAAATAATGACATCTCAGAGAGCAGCATTGAATCTCACAGCTCTGAAGTACTGAAAATGGCCAAACAAAAAATGGGTAGGAAATGGAAAGATTTAAAAGAAAAACAGTGGAGAGAGAATAAAAACACTGCCTTGAGATTGTGGAGGAAGGTGGTATTTATGATCCCATTGAAAAATTTTAGGTGATTTTTAAAATTTAAAATCTGAATCAAAAAGTACTATCAAAGTGCTTTTGAACAGTGCCCTAGGTAGAGCTCTTCCCTGAAACCATTGCGGGATTGCCTGAGTGATGAAAGGCCATCTTCATTTTCTCTTCTGGGGCAGAAGCACTGAACAGTTCAGCTGTGTTTTTAAATTTGTGGGTTTTTTTCTTTTAATTTCAATTTTATTTGGTGGTGGGTTTCATCTATATTTTCTAGAAGAGAAATTGCCTAGATAACACTCAGGCTAATATAAACTCCCTTTAAATTCTTTTTTTTTTTTTTTTTTTTTTTTTTGAGACGGAGTCTCGCTCTTTTGCCTAGGCTGGAGTGCAGTGGCACAATTTTGGCTCACTGCAACCTCCGCCTCCTGGGTTCAAGTGATTCTCCTGCCCCAGCCTCCCGAGTAGCTGGGACTACCGGTGCCTGCCACCATGCCCAGCTAATTTTTGTATTTTTTGTTAGTAGAGATGGGGCTTTACTGCGTTGGCCAGGCTGGTCTCAAACTCCTGACCTCGTGATCCACCCATCTCAGCCTCCCAAAGTGCTGGGAATATAGGTGTGAGCCACCGTGCCCAGCCAACCCCCTTTAAATTCTAATCAAAGGATCAGGGCAGCAAAAATTTTATTGGTTTGAATAAACTGTAATCAAAAATTGTTTACTGGTTACAAATTTTTTTTTTCTTGAGATGGAGTTTCACTCTTGTTGCCCAGGCTAGAGTGCAATGGCACAATCTCAGCTCACTGCAACCTCCACCTCCCAGGTTCAAGCAATTCTCCTGCCTCAGCCTCCTGAATACCTGGAATTACAGGCATGCACCACCATGGTCAGCTAATTTTGTATTTTTAGTAGAGACGGAGTTTCTCCATGTTGGTCAGGCTGGTCTCGAACTCCCAAGACTTCAGGTGATCCGCCTACCTTGGCCTCCCAAAGTGCTGAGATTACAGGTGTGAGCCACAGCACGTGACCTCTGGTTATAAAATTAATGAGGAAATTATCAGAATGGAGACTATGAAAGTTCAATCTAATCAGGTCCTGATATTAGACACATTGGATTACAGACCACCCTTATGACCTCATTTAACCTTAATTACCTCCTTAAAAGTCCCATTTCCAAGCAGTCACATTGGGGTTAGGTCTTCAACATACAAGATGCGGGAGGAGACACAAATCAGTCCCTAACCCCTGCCTATTAGTATTTTCATTTAGTTCATGACCTTGGAGTATATATTTATATTTTTGTACCACAAGACTAGCATGTGAAATATTCAGTGACTACCATCCTTCAATATACTTTAACGCCAAAACTATCTGGGGAGACAGTAATCCCAGCACTTTGGGAGCCTGAGGTGGGCAGATCATCTGAAGTCAGGGGTTCGAGGCCAGCTTGGCCAACATGGTGAAACCCTGTCTCTACTAAAAGTACAAAAATTAGCCGGGTGTGGTGGTGCAAACCTGTAATCCCAGCTACTCGGGAGGCTGAGGCAGGAGAATCGCTTGAATCTGGGAGGTGGAAGTTGCAGTGAGCCAAGATTGTGCCACTGAACTCCAGCCTGGGTGACAAGGAAGACTCTGTCTCAAAGTAAGCCTGACCAAGAATGATGGTGATTGTCCCCACTCCCAACCCCAATCTATTCTTACTGCTGTAGCCAGAGTGGACTTATACAAACACAAATGAGATCACATCACTCCTCTGTTTAACGTCCCTCAATGACTATGCTATCCTCAAGGAATATGCAGATCCTTACTGCAGCCCGTGAGGCACTGCATGACTTTTTCCTCATGGATTCTCCAACCTCCCGTCTTGGCTCTTCCTCATGTCATTATCTACTCAATGTTCACCTCTCTTGCTCACTGCAGGGTACCCAAGCCTCGTAAGTGCTTGTGAATAACAGAGGTTCACTAAATTTTGTTGCATTATTGAATGATGAGAAAAGAAAAGGCAAAGCCACTTAGAACAGAGCTCTGAAGGGCTCCAAACTTTATGAGTGAGGTGGAGGAGGTATAATAGGCAAGGGATTGTAAGAGGGAGTAGCCAGGAAGGTAGGAAGCAAACCAGAAGGGTGGTGGTGAGGAAGGCAAGAGAAGGTTCTGTTTCACAGAGAGGGAGGAGGTCACAATTTCAGATGTGGAAGGGTCAACGAAGATAAGGATGAAAAATGTTCATCATTTAGCTCTCACATAGAGGGGAACAATACATACTGGGGCGTTTCAGAGAGTGAAGGGTGGAAGGAGGGGGAAGATGAGGAAAAACAACTAATGGGTACTAAAGTTAATACCTGATTGATGAAATTGTCTGTACAACAAACCCCCATGATACAAGCTTACCTATGTGGCAAACCTGCACTTGTACCCCTGAACTTAAAAGTTAAAGAAAAAAAGATTGTTCATCTTAAACTTAGTGACAAGGAGGCCACAGGGGGCTTTATTGAAAGCAGTTTCAAGGGATTGAAAAATGTAGGCAGCAGATTTCAGGGTGAGAACCTTAAGTTTTCGCAGTGTGGTGAGAATGACTCTTCTTCACATGGGGATCAATCTTCAGACCTTAGCCCTACAATTTACTAAGCATGAGCTTCAGCAACATACTTAATCTTTGTATTCTTCATCTGTAACTTGAGAATAATAATGATACCCATCTGCTGCGTTGATGGGAGAATTAGAAATAATGAGTCCCACAGATTTAGCTCAAAGATTCTAAATAAATGGTAACGGTTGTTAAAATTTAGTTAAGCTTTTGCATTTAAATTTACTATTCTGGGCCAGGCACAGTAGCTCATGCCTGTAATTCCAGCACTTTGGGAGGCCGAGACAGGTGGATCATGAAGTCAGGAGTTCGAGACCAGCCTGACCAACATGGTGAAACACCATCTCTACTAAAAATACAAAAATTAGGCCAGGCACGGTGGCTCACGCCTGTAATCCCAGCACTCTGGGAGGCCGAGGCGGGCAGATCACGAGGTCAGGAGATCGAGACCATCCTGACTAACACGGTGAAACCCCGTCTGTATTAAAAATACAAAAAATTAGTCGATTTTTTGTATTTTGTGATGGCAGGCACCTTTAGTCCCAGCTACTCTGGAGGCTGGGACTCTGGAGGTGTGAACCCAGGAGGTGGAGCTTGCAGTGAGCTAAGATCATGCCACTGCACTCCAGCCTGGGCGACAGAGCAAGATTCTGTCTCAAAAATAAATAAATAAATAAAAATAAAATAAAATACAAAAATTAGCCAGGCATGGTGGTGCACTGTAGTTCCAGCTACTTGGGAGGCTGAGGCAGGAGAATCACTTGAACCCAGGAGGTGGAGGTTGCAATGAGCTGAGATCACGCCACTGCACTCCAGCCTGGCAACAGCAAGACTCTGTCTCCAAAACAAACAAACAAAAAAATTTTTATTATTCTGTGAAAATAGACTTAACTAAATCAATAGATGCTGAAGCATTTTTTAAAAAGCATATCAGCTACATTATGATTAAATCAAGTTACTGTCAACTCACTTGCTTTTCAGTTAGGTAAAACTGATAAAAAACAACAATGTGTGTGCATGCACTTCTGTGTGTTTTACAGGAAAGATAAAAATTTTAACAGAATGTATATGTATTTCACAAAGAATTTCTAGAATTGTGTCAGTAGATAAATATACAAATGAATCACTAGTGAAATTATAGTGCTGAAACATAATGGACAAAACAAAAATTCTGGTTCTGATTGTAGGCAAAAATGCTTGGACCAGATTAGCACATTGTCATAATTCTTTTCTCTACTTGGAGCTTTTATGGAAGTCATTGGTGGGTAAACTTTTAAATTTCTTCCTCTATGACTTGAAGTAACTTTGATGTGCATCACATAATATTTGATGGAAACATCTATGTTAGGTTACCAAGATGGCAAAATATTTTGTTTAATATCAAAATTCAGCAAGTATAGTCAGCTTATTTTGGAACATTTTTATGTTTTATAGAAGTTTTCCTGGCTGGGCGTGGTGGCCCATGCCTGTAATCCCAGCACTTTGGGAGGCCGAGGTAGGTGGATCACCTGAGGTCAGGAGTTTGTGAGCAGCCTGACTAACATGGTGAAACCCCATGTCTACTAAATACAAAAATATCAGCTGGGCATGGTGGCGCATGCCTGTAATTGGAGCTGCTTGAGAGGCTGAGACAGGAAAATTGCTTGTACCTGGGAGGTGGAGGTTGCAATGAGCCGAAATTGTGCCATTGCACTCTAGCCTGGGCAACAAGAGCAAAACTCTGTCTCAAAAAAAAAAAAAAAAGTTTTCCCTAAAGTTTTACAGAGTGTTAAATGTGAATTGAACTATCAGCAGATGTATTGATAATTTCATCTTCATTTTTGAAGAATAGTTTTACCAGGTATAGAATTTTTGGTTAACAGTTTTTTTTTCTTTCAGGGTTTTGAGTACATCATCCCACTGCCTTCTGGCCTCCAAGGTTCCACATGAGAAATCAGGTGTTGATCTCATTGACGTTCATTGTATGTGATAAGTCATTTCTTGCTGTTTTCAAGATTCTGCCTTTATTTTGACATTTGACAGTTTGGTTATGACATGTTTAGGCATGTATGTGTTTGAGTTTATATGACTTGGAATTTGTTGAGCTTATTGGATGTATATATTAATGCCTTGGAATTTGTTGAGCTTATTGGATGTGGATATTAATGAGCTTACCAAATTTGGTAAGTTTCCAGCTGTTATTTCTTCAAACATTCTCTCTGTCTTTTCTTTTCTCTCCTTCTGGCACTCCCCAGTGTTTGCGGTTGTTACTGCTTATTGCAGTTGTTTGTTTAGTGACTTTTCTGAACTAAATCCATAAAGCTTGTATTTTTTTTCTTTTGCCACTGAAGTCACAACTATATTGCTTAGTGGTCAGCTGAAGATTAAACAGATATTTTCTTTTATTTTCTTTTCTTTTTTGCGGTGGAGTCTCGCTCTGTGGCCCAGGCTGGAATGCAATGGTGTGATCTCAGCTCACCGCAGCCTCCACCTCCCAGGTTCAAGTAATTCTCCTGCCTCAGCCTACTGAGTAGTTGGGATTACAGGCACAGGCCACCACAGCTGGCTAATTTTTGTATTTTTAGTAGAGATGGGGTTTTGCCATGTTGGTCATGCTGGTCTTGAACTTCTGATCTCAGGTGATCCACCCACCTCAGCCTCCCAAAGTGCTGGGATTACAGGCATGAGCCACCGCGCCCAGCCAGGGCCAGATTTTTTATTAAATACTCATAGTCTTTGTCAAGGGACTGTGATTGCATGTTGGGGGCATGCTTTCAACACTCAGCCAGGCAGCTTACAATTCTGCCTTAAGCCTTCTTTCCCACATGACAAGGAAAGGATGTGCCACTCACCTTTTTGCTTTGTATCCCAGGTTTGAATACCTTTCCTTAGCACTATCCTCAGTCTGACAACTTTCAGATCATAATCCAGGTGGAAATATAGAGGAAAAAGTAATTATGGTTCAATGTGACAAGTGAACAGAGCAGTGTGGCACCCTGCTGGCATAAGACATGTCCATGAATATCACTTGCCTGCCAATATACTCTGGAAATAGGGAAATAACAGTGAAGAGATACTCTGAACAAATAGAATTCTAGATGAAACTCATTATACTGTTGCTGCTATATATTGCAGAAACAAGATAGAAAAAGAATAAAAGACTACAAAATAGTGGCTGAGAATCCAAAAGAATCGGGAAGATGAATATCAAAATAAAGCCAGTATTCTTGGCAAGTGGTATAACTTCACATATTATAGTAGCTTAATATCCCATATAGCAGTGGTACCCAGCCTTTTTGGCACCAAGGGACCGTTTTTGTGGAAGACAACGTTTCCATGGACAGGGACTAGGGGGAGAGTTTCAGGATGAAACTGTTCCACTTCAGATCATCAGGCATTAGCTAGATTCTCTCCTGCACATGTGCAGTTCACAATAGGGGTGAGAATCTAATGCTGCTGCTGATCTAATGAGAGGCAGAGCTCAGGCAGTAATGCTGGATCACTCGTAGCTCACCTCCTGCTGTGCGGCCCGGTTCCTAACAGGCCACAAACTGGTACCAGTCTGTGCTTGGGGACCCCTGCCGTATAGAATTGGTTATCTGTCACATTTTACAAATTACTCAGAAATGTCACTTGTTAACCTACCAGAAAATAAGATAGACAGAAAATGTCTATCTTAAAGAATTTATGTATTTTCTTCATAAAGCCTACCAAGTTAAGAATTTCCAAAAATTAATTAAGAGACACGTAATAAGGGCCAGACGCGGTAGCTCATGCCTGTAATCCCAGAAGTTTGGAAGGCCGAGGCGGGTGGGTCACCTGAGGTCAGGAGTTCAAGACCAGCCTGGCCAACATGGTGAAACCCTGTCTCTACTAAATATACAAAAAATTAGCTGGGCGTGGTGGCAGGCGCCTGTACTCCCAGCTACTGGAGAGGCTGAGGCAGGAGAATCGCTTGAACCTGGGAGGCGGAGGTCGCAGTGAGCCGGGATCACGCCATTGCACTCCAGCCTGTGCAACAAGAGTGAAACTCCATCTCAAAAAAAAAAAAAAAAAAAAAAAGAGAGAGAGACAGGTAATAAGAAGACAATAAGTCTAGTGATAGAGTTTGCATAGTATGTAATTTGTAAAATAATTTAATAAGGACAAGTGAATTATAGACTAGGATTCACACTCTGTGATGATGACATTCTAGAACAGAAACAATACTTTCATCATTAAAACACATCTATCTTTAGGCAAAATGTGTCTGATATTGCCAACATAATCCAAAACTTATACAAGTTGTTTGAAAAGTTATGACCGTTTACAGGCGATACTAGAGATGTACAGTCACTACTTACAGAGAATTTTGAGGTTTTGACATTTTTGCGTTTGTTTATAAGACATGTATCACTAACAGCCACAGAAACTTGACTATGTAATTGTCTTATTAATAAAAATGGAAGCAGGTCTGAGAACCAATTGTTTAATCTGGGAAGTGTTGCCAAGATCCACACTAGAAGGAAAAAGGGAGCCTGCACTCTTGGTTTTCACAACTAGATGGTGCTGCTCCGCTTTCAAATGGGAAGGACTGCAAAGCCCTTAAAACATCAAGAGTTCTCCTGGAAACAGCCACGTAACTAGCACCTTTTACCTGTGAAGCCCTTGCTGGCCAACTGTTGCTTGCCAGCAGTGTGCATGTTACAGTGTGGGTGATCATTGTGCAAAATCATCTCACGAACACTTATTTCAACTTCTCCAATGTAGTTATTCTGTACGTAGATGCTCCTCCCTGGATATCAATGTTAGGACATGTACAAGAAATAGTAAAATTAACCTAGATGAAACAAGAAAACATCGAATCACACGTTATGGCTTTAAAAATATTACACACATAATCTAGATTCAATTTAAGAGAGTTAGAAAATGCAGATCATCAAAATGACAGTAAAACTACTTATAGCCTTTCAACATAGCTTTGATAGCAGCAAGACTGGCTAGCCTTGGTGATACTGAAAATCTAGAATACTGAAAGGGACATCAATGCAGTATGTTTTTAACCCTGTTACTCCTTCACATTGCAGCAGTACTGCGGGCTCTGTGACAGTACTTCCCATTGCAGCAGTACTGTGGCCTCTGCGGCAGTACTTAACATAGTGGCAGTACAGTGGCCTCTGTGGCAGGACTTCACATTGTGGCAGTACCGTGGCCTCTGTGGCAGGATTTCACATTGTGGCAGTACCGTGGCCTCTGTGGCAGGACTTCACATTGTGGCAGTACCATGGCCTCTGTGGCAGGACTTCACGTGTGGCAGTACCGTGGCCTCTGTGGCAGTACTTCACGTTGTGGCAGTACTGTGGCCTCTGTGGCAGGACTTCGCATTGTGGCAGTACCGTGGCCTCTGTGGCAGGACTTCACATTGTGGCAGTACCGTGGCCTCTGTGGCAGGACTTCACGTGTGGCAGTACTGTGGCCTCTGTGGCAGTACTTCACGTTGTGGCAGTACCATGGCCTCTGTGGCAGGACTTCACATTGTGGCAGTACCATGGCCTCTGTGGCAGGACTTCATATTGTGGCAGTACCGTGGCCTCTGTGGTAGTACTTCACGTTGTGGCAGTACCGTGGCCTCTGTGGCAGGACTTCACATTGTGGCAGTACTGTGGCCTTTGCAGCAGTACTTCATATTGCAGCAGAACTGTGGCTTCTGTGGCAATACTTCATATTGTGGCAGTACTTCATATTGCAGCAGTACCATGGCCTCTGTGGCAATACTTCATATTGTGGCAGTACTTCATATTGCAGCAGAACTGTGGCTTCTGTGAAAATACTTCATATTGTGGCAGTACTTCATATTGCAGCAGTACAGTGGCCTCTGCAGCAGTACTTCATATTGTGGCAGTACCGTGGCCTCTGTGGCAGTACTTCATATTGCAGCAGTACTGTGGCCTCTGCGGCAGTACTTCATATTGCAGCAGAACCGTGGCTTCTGTGGCAATACTTCATATTGTGGCAGTACTTCATATTGTGGCAGTACCATGGCCTCTGTGGCAGTACTTCATATTGTGGCAGTACTTCATATTGCAGCAGTACCATGGCCTCTGTGGCAGTACTTCATATTGTGGCAGTACCGTGGCCTCTGTGGCAGTACTTCATATTGCAGCAGTACTGTGGCCTCTGTGGCAGTAGTTCATATTGTGGCAGAATTGTGGCTTCTGTGGCAATACTTCATATTGTGGCAGTACTTCATATTGCAGCAGTACCATGGCCTCTGTGGCAGTACTTCATATTGTGGCAGGACTGTGGCTTCTGTGGCAGTACTTCATATTGTGGCAGTACTTCATATTGCGGAAGTACCGTGGCCTCTTTGGCAGTACTTCATATTGTGGCAGTACTGTGTCCTCTGTAGCAGTACTTCACATTGCGGCAGTAGCATGGCCTCTGTGGCAATACTTCACATTGTAGCAGTACTGTGGACTCTGTGGCAGTACTTTTTATTGCGGCAGTACTTTTTATTGCAGCAGTACCGTGGCCTCTGTGGCAATACTTCATATTGTGGCAGTATTTTATATTGCGGCAGTACCGTGGCCTCTGTGGCAATACTTCATATTGTGGCAGTATTTTATATTGTGGCAGTACTGTGGCCTCTGTGGCAATACTTCATATTGTGGTGGTACTTGTTATTGCAGCAGTACCGTGGCCTCTGTGGCAATACTTCTTATTGTGGCGGTACTTTATATTGCAGCAATACTGTGACATCTGTGGCAGTACTTCATATTGCAGCCGTATCGTGGCCTCTGTGGCAGTACTACTCTTCCTAGTTTTTTCCCCTTCCCTCTACCTTCAGTACTGGATTGCATCGTGCTGTGATGCACATGTGTTTCACGTTTTAAATCACTGAATTTGGGATAGATTCTACTATCGCTGCTGTCTTACCACCTCTGAGGGCCAGGTGGCAGTCATGATGTGGCTGTCATTCTCTGAGCATGGTAGAGTATTGGCAACATTTGCTGGAAAAAAATCTGAGACTAAGCACTCCTTGTTTTTTCATTTTTAAAATATTTATTTATTTGAAGACAGGGTCTCTGTTATCTTGGATGACACCCTGTCTTCAAATAAATAAATACTTAAAAAATGAAAAAACAAGGAGTGCTTGGTCTCAGCTTGGAAGTTGAGCCTGCAGTCACAGCTCACTGCAGCTTCAACCTCCCGGGCTCAAGCAATCCTCCCACCTCAGCCTCCCGAGTTGCTGGGACTATAGGCACACACCACCATGCGTAGCTGATTTTTTTTTTCCGTGTTTTGCTGAGACAGGGGTTTTGCCATGTTGCCCAGGCTGCTCTCAAATTCCTGGGCTCAAGCAATTCATCTACCTTGGCTTCCTAAAGTTCTATGATTGCAGGCGTGAGCTACTGTGCCCGGCCTCTCTGTGTTTTTGTAATTCCTAAAAACAAATGGTTCTGAAAGAAGGTGGGAAAGGTGGCGAGGCAAGTGTATTTACCAACATTCCTGAGGCAGGACCAAAAGTATACCAGCACTTCATGATTGCAAAACAGGTTTAAGAGCCCAGCAATAATAGCCTTTAGGTGGATTGTGGATTCTCTTAAATGCATCATCACCAACACTTTAAATGATGCGAAGAATGACTTTTAATTTTTTTTAAAAAAGTAGGTAGTTAGTTATATTTCTGAGACAAAAAGTGGGTCAAGCACCAGCCATCCCTTCATCTGCATAGGGGGCCAGTTCACCCTAGCGTTTAATTAGTCACAGACCAAATTTTCATCCAGATAAGGGGTAACCGACAGGGACCTCAAAAGGAGTACTTAAAAGCGAGAAAACTTTGTAATGGGGCCCTTGAGCCGCTTGCTTGGGCCCACTCCCACCCTGCAGAGTGCTTTCTCACTTTCATAAATCCCTGCTGGCCGGGCGTGGTGTCTTACCCCTGTAATTCCAGCACTTTGGGAAGCTGAGGCCGGCAAATTACGAGGTCAGGAGATGAGACCATCCTGGTCAATATGGTGAAAACCCATCTCTACTAAAAATACAAAAATTAGCTGGGTGTGGTGGCGTGCCTGTAGTCCCAGCTACTCAGGAGGCTGAGGCAGGAGAATCGCTTGAGCCTGGGAGGTGGAGATTGCAGTGAGCCGAGATCATGCCACTGCCCTCCAGCCTGGCGACAGAGTGAGACTCTGTGTCAAAAAAATCAATCAATCAATCAATCCCTGCTCTTGCTGCTTCGTTTTTGTGCTTCGTTCCTTTTTTGCTTTGTTTGTGCTGTTTTGTCCAATTCTTTGTTCAAAACGCCAAGGACCTGGACAACTTACTCTCAAGGCCTTCCCTCCAGGAACAATTAGACATTATAGTAAGTGGACATCATGCAAAGTCAGAATTTATGCTAAAAAGTTGTGAACTTTACTCCATAACATATCCATAGTTTTCTTATGTAAAAATCTTGTTTCTCTTCCCCAGATTCTCACATCCTCTCTAAACACTCTCATCCTCAGTGACCTCTTCTACTTCCACATCCACAGTCTCAGTTAGCATCACTAGCTGAAAATCTCTATGCAGGACTTCTTACTGACATATCAACCTGCTTATGAAACCAACCCAATAGTCACATAGATATTTTTTTTTCTTTTCTTTTCTTTTCTTTTTTTTTTGAGACGGAGTCTCGCTCTGTCGCCAGGCTGGGGTGTGGCCAGGTTGGAGTGTAGCGGGGCAATCTCGGCTTACTGCAACCTCCGGCTCCCCTCCTGGGTTCAAGTTATTCTCCTACCTCAGTCTCCTGAGTAGCTAGGACTACAGGCGCCAGCCACCACGCCCGGCTAATATTTTTGTATTTTTAGTAGAGACGCAGTTTCACCATGTTGGCCAGGATGGTCTTGATCTCTTGACCTCGTGATCCGCCCGCCTTGGCCTGTCAGAGTGCTGGGATTACAGGCGTGAGTCACAGCGCCCGGCCCAAAAATTTTTTGAATGAACATAGAAATTCACTTTTCTCGTCTTAGAGCTTAAACCTTACATTGGTTTTATCTGAGTTCCTTCCTCAGGAAATGACCTTCATGGCTCTCAAGAAAGGATCAAAGAACTGAAACTCACCAGATCACAATATCCTGACAATGAGATGCTGGACCTCTCATTCATCATGATTGCTTCCTTGCTCCTTCCTGGTTTCTGTTTTCTTACATATTGTTATGTTATTTTTTATTTTATTTTATTTTTTATTTTTTTGAGATGGGGTCTTGCTCTGTCACCCAGGCTGGAGTGCAGTGGTGCCATCTCGGCTCACTGCAACCGCCGCTTCTCGGGTTAAAGTGATTCTTCCGCACCTTCGCCTCCCAAGCAGCCGGGATTACAGGCGTGAGCCACCATGCCTGGCCATGGCAGTACATCTTGATAGCTCTACCTTGTAAACACATATTGGCTCTGAACAGTCTTCAGTGTCTCCACTGCCACAACACGGACCTCCACCATCACTCCCTTACCTGCAGGCCCCAGCAGTGCCTAGGTGGCCTCCTTAGCATGGTTCATACCCACAGAGCAGCCAGAAGGGATCTGGCCAAAGTCTAAAACAGATCACGTCTGCGTGGCTTGCATCCTTCAGTGGCTTCTCATTATTCTCAGAATAAAGTTAAAGGCCTCTCCATGGGCTGTGAGGTGGGCCAGCACCCTCTCCAACATCGCCTCTGTGTTTCTCTTGTTTACCATATTTTCTCCCCTCCTTTCTGCATCCTAAATGTACCATGCTCAGTTCTGCCTCAGGACCTTCACACTTTCTATTGTTCTCCTTATCCTTTGGTTCGTACTCACTATTTTGATCTTTTCAGTTAGGTCACATTTTCATAAAGAAGTGATAACCCTTTTTTTTTAAGTCCTTTTCTACCATATTACATTGTTTTATCTTTTTCAGAGAATTTGTTGGTGCTTGAAATTTTTCCCATCTGTTTTTTTTTTCTATAGCTCTCTGTTCATCTATCCATTGTGTGTTTATTTCCTGTCTTTGACCCAAATATATGCTCCTTAAGGGCACAGGGCTCTCCTTTTCCTCAGTCTACCTCTTTAATTTTTTTAATTATTTTTCCTTAGAAACAGGGTCTGGAAAACATGCTCTCCCCCACTGCAGGTACCTGTAATCTCAGCTACTTGGGAGGCTGGAGGTGGAGAATTGCTTGAACCCAGGGGACGGAGGTTGCAGTGAGCCGAGATCATGCCACTGCATTCTAGCCTGGGTGACAGAACGAGACTCCGTCTCAAAAGAAAAAAAAAAGAAAGAAAGAAAACGAAGGAAAAAAGGAAAAGGCTGCTGGGCACTGTGGCTCACGCCTGTAATCCCAGCACTTTGGGAGGCTGAGGTAGGCGGATCACAAGGTCAGGAGTTCGAGACCAGCCTGGCAAACATGATGAAACCCTGTCTCTAATAAAAATACAAAAAATTAGCTGGACGTGGTGGCAGGCCTCTGTAATCCCAGCTACTCGGGAGGCTGAGGCAGGAGAATTGCTTGAACCTCGGAGGCAGAGGTTGCAGTGAGTCAACATTGCACCACTGCACTCCAGCCCAGGCGACAGTGTGAGACTCCATCTAAAAAAAAAGAAAAGAAAAGAAAAAGGCAAGCCACAGACTGAGAGAGGATATTCACCATAACTGTATTAGACAAAGGACTTGTATAACTTTTTTTTTTTTTTTTTTTTTGAGACAGGGTCTCTTTCATTCTGTCACCCAAGCTCGAGTGCAGTAGTGTCATCATGGCTCACTGTAGCCTCAAACTCCTAGGCTCAAGTGATCCTCGTGCCTCAGCCTCTGGAGTAGCAGGGACTACAAGTGCACACCATTATGCTTGGCTAAATTTCTATTTTTATTTATATTTTTTATGGAGACAGAGTCTTACTGTGCTGCTCAGGCTGGTCTCAAACTTCTGGGCTCAAGCAATCCTCCTGCCTCAGCCTCCCAAAGTGCCAGGATTACAGGTGTGAGCCACCATGCCCAGTCTAAAGATATTTAAATAACTTAAATTCTTTAATAAAAAGAACACAATAGGGAAAACTGGACAAAAGACTTGAATGGAAGATAAGTACATGGCCAGTGAAAATCCTTCACATCATCAGTCATCAGGGAAAAATGCAAACTAGGACCACAAAGGTATACTACTTCACGCTTGCCATAGTGGCTGAAATGGGAAACTAAATACAGAATGTTGATGAGGATGTAGAACAATTAGAACTCTTTTTTTTTTTTTTTGTTTTTGAGACGGAGTCTCGCTCTGTTGCCCCGGCTGGAGTGCAGTGGCGTGATCTCAGCTCACTGCAAGCTCCGCCTCCCGGGTTCACGCCATTCTCCTGCCTCAGCCTCCCGAGTAGCTGGGCCTACAGGCACCCGCCACCATGCCCAGCTAATTTTTTGTATTTTTAGTAGAGATGGGGTTTCACTGTGTTAGCCAGGATGGTCTCTATCTCCTGACCTTGGGATCCACCCACCTCGGCCTCCCAAAGTGCTGGGATTACAGGCGTGAGCCACCACGCCCGGCCACAATTAGAACTCTTACCCACTTCTGGTAGGAGTGTAAAGTGGCACAACTACTTTGGAAAAGAGTTTACTATAAAGTTAAACATTTACATACCATCAAATGAGAAAGTTCACTCCTGGCTATTTATCCCAGATATGTCAAAACCTGTGTTCACACTAAGACTTGTTCATGAATGTTCATTTTATGTTAATTCATAAGAGTCCCAAACTACAAACAACCTAAACACCCATCAACAGGTGAGTGTGGTATAAATAAACCATAGTTATCCATACAATGGAGTACTATTCAGCAACATAAAGAAATGAACTACTGATGGCCAGTCGGGGTGGCTCATGCCTGCAATCCAGCACTTTGGGAGGCTGAGGCGGGTGGATCATGAGGTCAAGAGATCGAGACCACCCTGGCCAACATGGCGAAATCCCGTCTCTACTAAAAATACAAAAATTAGCTGGGTGTGGTGGTACGTGCCTGTAGTCCCAGCTACTCAGGAGGCTGAGGCAGGAGAATCGCTTGAGCCCAGGAGGTAGAGGTTGTAGTGAGCCGAGGTCGTGCCACTGCACTCCAGTCTGGTGACAGCAAGACTCCATCTCACCAAAAAAGAAAAAAAAAAAAAAAGAAGAGCTACTGATACTTGCAATAACATGGATGAACCTTGAAAACACTATATTGAGTTTAACAAAGTGGATACAAATATGATCATGCATGTGGTTTTGTTTATAGAAAATGAAAGGTAAAATATTTATAACTACAAAAAGCATATCAGTGGCTGACTGGGGCTGGGGAAGGAGGGAAATTCACAGGTTGATAAAAATATTCTGCGTCATGATTGTGTTGATGGTTACACAGGTGTATATATTTGTCAAAACACAAGAAACTGGACACTTAAAATGGATGTTTTTTGTGTATAATTATACCTCAATAGAGATGATTTACAAATAAAAATTAGGGAATTTTCATCCAGAATTGTCATGAGGACATCTGTAAGAGTCTGGCTTTTTAAAATATGTGATAAATGCGGCTGAATTTGAAGCTAACTGAGCCAATGCTTTCTCTCCTTTTGGAGAGAGCAGTCACATTAATTGACTTTCACTTTGATGAAAAGTGAAAAAGGAGGTGGCCTTGGGTTCTGGAAGATGAACGTTCACTGGGCAAAGCGCCAACATTGCTCATTATTCACAGTGAAGGTTCCAGGGAGTCAGCTTGGCTTTTTGAGCCCAGGAAAGAGATACAATATTAATATTGGGGGTCTCACTGAAGTCTCACTACAAAGGTCCCCCTTCTCACTCACTATTTTCCCTTCTGATAGAATCGAATCATAGGTTCTTATGCGGGAAGAAAGCTCGGAAACTATGTAGTTCAACCTGCAGTTGCCTCACCATGGACATTATCTCTGACTTGTTTTCTCATTTGCCCCTCTCTGAGATCTAAAGAACTCTTGCTCCCTTTTTTTTTCAAATCTTCCAGGAGTCTGGCAAGGGCTTATTTATTGATGTTTCCCTTTTCTTTTCTTTCTTTTCTTTCTGTGTTTGTGTGTGTGTGAGTGTGTGTGTGAGTGACAGAGTTTTGCTCTTCTTGCCCAGGCTGGAGTGCAGTGGTGCAGTCTCGGCTCACTGCAGTCTCGGCTCACTGCAACCTCCGCCTCCCGGGTTCAAGCAATTCTCCTGTCTCAACCTTCCAAGTAGCTGGGATTACAGGCATGTGCCAGCACGCCCAGCTAATTTTTGTATTTTTAGTAGAGACGGAGTTTCACCATGTTGGCCAGGCTGGTCTCGAATGCCTGACCTCAGGCGATCCGCCCACCTTGGCCTCCCAAAGTGCTGGGATTACAGGCATGAGCCACCGCACCTGGCCAGTATTTCCCTTTTCTGAATGCATACGTTGCCCCACTGCTTTGACTTTTGTATCTAAATTTCACCTACCTAAAGTCGAATGTTAAAATTCATTATGCAAAGTCAAGGGAAACTATATTGAAGACACTGATGTAAATCAGGCTTGTTTATTGCCATTTACATAAACACATATATTAGGCGATGTGTAAAGTGTCGATCTCTCTGCAGTGGCCTTGATGATATTCCTGGACTAATTTACTTCCCGGAAGTTTCTTTTAGCTTAATGACTTGGAGAATGGCAAACACGTGACGCCTCCGTTCATGGTGGAAAACTGAGCGCAGGTGAGCAGCGGGTGGAGGACCAGAGCCACTCCATCACATTCTTCTCTGCTGTTTACTAGAGGCAGCATTGTGTTGGTCTTGACCAAGTTACTCAACTTTTGTATGTCTCCAAATCTTTCAAATGGATGTAACGTTATTCATCTTGTAGGACTATTTTTTTCTTTTTTGAGAATCAGAGAACATAGAAACAGTTTGGCTCACAACACACTTAACAAATGTTGGTGTCTTCATTTCTCCTGCATTTTTCGGGAGATCACTTGTCTTCCCCAGACAGCTAGACTCTGATATAAGAGTTGCTGGTGCCGGGTGTAGTGGCTCACGCCTGTAATCCCAGCACTTTGGGAGGCCGAGGCAGGCAGATCATGAGGTCAGGAGTTCAAGAGCAGCCTGGCCAACATGGTGAAACCCCGTCTCTACTAAAAATATGAAAATTAGCCAGACATGGTGTTGCGTGCCTCTAATCCCAGCTACTTGGGAGGCTGAAGCAGGAGAATCACTTGAACCTGGGAGGGGGAGATTGCAGTGAGCTGAGATTGTGCCATCGCACTTGGGCAATAGAGTGAGATTCCGTCTCAAAAAAAAAAAAAAAAAAGAGTCGCACAAAGCAGAAGAGTCTTGGGTGTGCCAACACATGGCTGCTGTATGTATTTGTGAAGTCTCTAGTTTAGCTTGACTGAGCCTTGGCCATGCCACTGGCTACTAAATAATAACCTTTTTCCAGCCTCTATATCAGAAGTTGGCAGGTAAAGAAGACACATTGCAAAGTATCTTTCTGTCTTTACTCAAAGTCGTGGACAGAGGAGAATTCCATTTTTTCCTCTTGGACTCAACAGAGTGGGTCCACTTAGTTTATACCTGTCTATTTTTCACCTTTGTATAACTAGAAAGATTCATGGTGGCTTTATCATTTAACCTTTTTGTTTGTTTGAGATGGAGTTTCCCTCTGTTGCCCAGGTGATTCTCCTTCTTCATCCTCCAGAGTAGTTGGGGCTACAGATGTGTGCCACCACCC